>NW_003315917.2:959128-1138692 GCF_000001405.40 Homo sapiens | reverse complement strand
GATCACGAGGTCAGGAGATCAAGACCATCCTGGCTAATGTGGTGAAACCCCGTCTCTACTAACAATACAAAAATTAGCTGGATGTGGTGGCAGGTGCCTGTAATCCCAGCTATTCCAGAGGCTGAGGCAGGAGAATCACTTGAACCTGGGAGGCAGAGGTTTCAGTGAGTCCAGATCATGCCACTGCACTCCAGCCTGGGTGACAGAGCGAGATTCTATCTCAAAAAAAAAAAAAAAAAAAGCAACAGAAGCAAATGAGAGTGCCTGGGAGTGGTCATTGTGGGGCCTTCCCGTTTGTGTGACCCAGGTCATGTCCCTCCCTAAGCCCTGGTCTCTCTTGCCTCCTGCAGGGCTGGTGAATTACCAGATCTCCGTCAAGTGCAGTAACCAGTTCAAGTAGGAAGTGTGTCTTTTGAATGCAGAAAACAAAGTCGTGGACAACCAGGCTGGGACCCAGGGCCAGCTGAAGGTGCTGGGTGCCAACCTCTGGTGGCCGTACCTGATGCACGAACACCCCGCCTACCTGTACTCGTGGGAGGTAATGGTGGTTTGGGACTTGCGTAAGGGAGGTCTTTTGCCCCCATCTGGTAGCCCTGGCTTCAGCAGGAGCCCAGGACAGGTGAACGGGCAGGTGTGGTCCTCTGAGCTTTCTGATGTTTCCCACCCTTGGTGGGAGGCCCAGATTTTTTATTTATTTATTTATTTATTTATTTATTTATTTATTTGTTTTTGTGATGGTCTCACTCTGTCACCCAGGCTGGAATGCAATGGCCTGATCACAGCTCACTGCAGCTTTGAGCTGCAATCCTCCTACCTTGGCCTCCTGAGTAGCTGGGACTACAGGCACATGCCACCATGCCTGGCTAATTAAAAAAATTTTTTTTGTAGGCCGGGCATGGTGGCTCACACCTGTAATCCCAGCACTTCGGGAGGCTGACGCGGGCAGATCACTTTAGGCCAGGAGTTGGAGACCAGCCTGGCCAACATGGTGAAACCCCGTCTCTACTAAAATATGAAAATTTGCAGGGCATGATGGTGCACGTCTGTAATCCCAGCTACTCGGGAGGCTGAGGCAGGGGAATTGCTTGAACCCAGGAGGCAGGGGCCGCGGTGAATTGAGATCATGCCGCAGCACTCTATCCTGGGTGACAGAGTGAGACTGTCTCAAAAAAAAAAACTCCTTTTTATAGAGTTGGGGTCTTACTAGGTTGCCCAGGCTGGTCTTGAACTCCTGGACTCAGGTGATCCTCCTGCCTTAGCCTCCCAAGGTGTAGGGATTCCAGGCATGAGCCACCTCGTCTGGTCAAGGAGAAGGCCTGATTTTGAAGGGCAGGTCCCAGGGTCAGCCAGTGAAGGGCAGAGCCTCTGATTGCTGCTTCTCTGCAGGCCCAGTGGCGACTTCTGGGGTGCATGCACGAGGGGTCTTCCTGCTGTAGGGCAGGCCAGATGGGGCTCAGGCTGTCGGGGCGCTCACACCTGGCGCTTTGGCTGTCGTAGGTGCGGCTGACTGCACAGAAGTCACTGGGGCCTTTGACTTCTACACACTCCCTGTGGGGCTCCGCACTGTGCCCGTCACCGAGAGCCAGTGGGTGAGAGCCAGTTTCATTTGCGGTAGAGGCAGCAGAGGTTGTAGAAATGCTCCTTGAGGCAGATGCCACACCCCAATTTCATGGAGTGATTTGAGTCTGCAGCAGGCAGAAGGCTCTGAGATGTTGTCCTAGCCTGGGCAAAGGACAATTCAGAGCTCGGGGGAATAGGGGTGTGCTCAGCACGACTGGGTGGACAGGCCGTTTGTTGTGAATCGTACAGGCTTCCAGGAGCGGGTGCCTGAGGCTTCCAGACAGGCTTTGGGAGGTGGCCAGAGGAGATGCCTGTTTCCGGGGCAGGAAATGGAGGAAGGGCCCAGGCTGGAGAGGTTCAGCCAGGCTGTCACAAGGCTTTGAAGCTTCCCATCTGAGAGCCTGGCTATTGGAGAGTGTGGGTTTGGAACTTGAGGCTAGGAGGTTCTATTCTGTCCTGTGCCAGCCACAGCCTTCGGATGGGCAGAGCAATGATGGGGGGAAGATGTAAAAGAAAAGAACTGAGGAAAGAAGAAGAAAACCAGCTTCAACAACGGTCTAGGCCGGATGCGGTGGGTCACGCCTGTAATCCCAGCAGTTTGGGAGGCTGAGGTGGGTGGATCACCCGAGGTCAGGAGTTCGAGACCAGCCTGGTCAACAGGTAGTGAATCCTGTCTCTACTAAAAATACAAAAATTAGCTGGGCATGGTGGTGGACGTCTGTAATCCCAGCTACCAGGTAGGCTGAGGCAGGAGAATCGCCTCAGGTGAACCAGGAGGCAGAGATTGCAATGAGCTGAGATAATGCCACTGCATTCCAGCCTGGGCTACAGAATGAGACTCTGTATCTCAACAAAACAAAACAAAACAAAAACACAACAGTCTGTTCTGTGGAGGCCTTGGGCAGATGCTGGGAGCTCTGAGCACGGACTGGTCCCTCTGTTGGGAGCCTCTTCCCTTCATCCCTCCTGGTTAACTTGACTCAGCATAAAGGCCATTTCTTCTAAGAGCCTGTCCCTGACTCTCCAATCGGGGATGTGTCTGTTGTCTCATAGAGTGCCCAATTCCTGCCACCACTTGTCATTTCCATTCGCAACATTTCTTTCATTGTTTGTTTTTCAGAGTCAGGGTCTCACTCTGTTGCCCAGGCTGGAGTGCAGTGGTGCAATCATAGCTCGTTGCCATCTCGACCTCCTGGGCTTAAGCGATCCTCCCCACTCAGCCTCCCAAATAGCTGGGACCACAGACGTGCGCTGCCTTGCCAGGCTAAATTTTAATATTTTTTTTTCCCCACGAGTCAGAGTCTTGCTCTGTCTCCCAGGCTGGAGAGCAGTGTTGCGATCTTGGCTCACTGCATCCTCTACCTCCTGGGTACAAACAGTTCTCCTGCCTCACCCTCCCGAGTAGCTGGGATTACAGGCTCACGCCACCATGCCCAGCTAGTTTTCTTCTTTATTTTTTGTTGAGATGGGGTTTCACCATGTTGGCCAGGCTGGTCTCGAACTCTTGAGCTCGTGATCCACCTGCCTTGGCCTCCCAAAGTGCTCACAGGCTTGAGCCACCATGCCCGGCCCTAATTTTTAAATTTGTTGTAGAAACAAGGTCTTGCTATGTTGTCCAGGCTGGTCTCAAGCGCCTGGTCTCAAGTAAGCCTCCCAAAGTGCTGGGGTTCTAGGCTTGAGCCACCTCGCCTGGCACTTGCACCGTTTTTCTGTGCATGCATCTCCACTCCCACTGCCCAGGACCTGTGGACTTAGATTTGAGTCATTACTGAGCACCTAGCACCCAGCCTCATGCCTACCTCCCACCTCGCACTACCTGTTTGCTTGATGCATTAATAAATATTCCACCTGAATCCACAGCCCATTCACTCCTGTGTTCAAGAGCTATTTCAGGAAGTGAACCTCATTTCTGGCAGTGTTCAGTCCAGTGACCTCAGCTCTGTGTACCCGGCAGGGTGGCTACGCCTCTGGGGGAGTTGGATTCAGGGGTGGGGGAGAAAGAGTGTTGTTAGAGAGCTCGGTCTAGGACTAGAGGAACGTGCCCTTATGTAAAATACATCTCAAGTTAGGGAAGAAAGCAGCGGCTCTGTGCTTTGTTTTTTTTTTTTTTTTTTCTTTTCTTTCTTTCTTTTTGTTTGTTTGTTTGTTTGTTTGTTTGTTTGTTTTGGGGCAGGGTCTTGCTCTGTGGCCCAGGCTGGAGTGCAGTAGCGTGATTTCGGCTCACTGCAACCTCCACCTCCCGGGTTCAAGCAATTCTTGTGCCTCAGCCTCCCGAGTAGCTGGAGTTACAGATGCGTGCCACTAAGCCTGGCTAATTTTTGTATATTTAGTAGAAATGGGGTTTTGCCATGTTGGCCAGGCTGTTCTTGAACCCCTGACCTCAGTGATCTGCCTGCCTCAGCCTCCTGAAGTGCTGGGATTACAGGCGTGAGCCATCGTGCCTGGCCACCAGTTGTGTTCTGGCAGGGGAAGATGGGACAGAGAGGATGGGAGGGTGTCTGAGCCTTTCCCGGACTGACGGAACCTGTGTCTTCTCTCTTTTGTGGACAGGATGGTGATTGCTCACACCAAAGCCTTGGACCCCTCCCAGCCTGTGACCTTTGGGACCAACTCCACCTACGCAGCAGACAAGGGGGTGAGCCTGGGGGTCCCCACCCCATTTCTCCCTGCCTTTGCCTGGGCTTGTCCTGAAGCCTGCTCATGGGAACAGCTGGAAAGAACCATGTGCTGCCAGTCTGAGCTTTTTATTTTGTTTTACTTAGAAAGATAGAGACAGGGTCTTGCCATGTTGCCCAGGCTGGTCTCGAACTCCTGGGCTCAAGTGATCCTCCTGCCTCGGCCTTCCAAAGGGCTGGGGTTACAGGCGTGTGCCACCGCACTCAGCCGCGGCCAGTCTGTTTTCAAAGATGGTCTTTGGGTTAATGACAATTCTCTCTCTGCTTACTCTCCAGGCAGTGTGGCTTTCTGAATCCAAGGAGGCTGGGCATAGGGAGATGGGATTTGTTTGCCCGGTTTGGACTCAGCATTTTTTGTACTCGATTTAATAGACTCATAAAATGTCAAAGGTTTAAGTGAGCTTAGAGTTCATCTGGCCCAAACCTGGCTGATCAGAATCTCCAGGGGAAGTTTTATTGAAATGCCAGATCTCTGCGTTCTGAGATCCTGATTTAGTAACTCCAGGGTTGGAACCTGAGTTTTTTGTTTTTTTGTGTGTGTGTGTGAAGGCAAGGTCTTACTCTGTTGCTCTGGCTGGAGTGCAGTGGTGTGATCACAGCTCACTGCAGCCTTGAATTCCTGGGCCTAAGCAACCCTCTTGCCTCAGCCTTCCAAGTAGCTGGGACTCCGGGGGTACACCACTGTGCCCGGCTAATTTTAAATGTTTTTGTAGAGATGGGATCTCACTATGTTGCCCAGGCCAGTCTCAAACTCTTGAGCTCAAGTGATCCTCCTGCCTTAGCCTCCTAAAGTGCTGGGATTACAGGCATGAGCCACCGTGCCTGGCTGATACTAGCATTCTTTTTTATTTTTTATTATTTTTTTAAGATAGAGTCTTGCTCTGTTGCCCAGGCTGGAGTGCAGTGGCACAGTCTCAGCTCAGTGCAACCTCCGCCTCCCAGGTTCAAGCAATTCTCCTGCCTCAGCCTCCCAAGTAGCTGGGATAACAGGCACATGCCACCACGCCTGCGCTTGATCGTGGGAGGCAGAGGTTGCATTATTGTGCCACTCCATTCTAGCCTGGGCAACAGAGCGAGACTCTGTCTTCCAAACAAAGCGGAAAAAGATTATCTGCGAGAATGACTGCATTGGCCCCTTGGGTGGGAGGGCTTCTCCAGGGCAAGGTGAGGGGATGCCCAGTGCTGGGAGTGCTGCCTGGAGAGGAGTCAGTTCCAGTGGCGGGGGCCCTGGGTTTTGGCTGAGGACTGCGTGTTGGCAGCTGCTCTGCCTCTCACAGCCCTTCCCAGCTGCACACGTCGTGAGCGTCAGTGTGCAATCACAGGCCTGCCTCCTTTGGGCCACTTTGTGACCATGTTTTTTGCTTGTGGGGCAGGGTAATTTCAGGATCTAAATTGGTGCAGTTGGATGTTCTCAGCCCCGAGAGGCAGCTCTTCCCGTTGTAGGCTTTTTGTTTTGTTTTGTAGAAATGGAGTCCTACGACGTTGCCCAGGCTGGTCTCAAACTCCTGGGCTCAAGTGATCCTCCCACCTTGGCCTCCCAATGTGCTGGGATTACAGGCATGAGCCACTGTGCCGTGCTGATTTTCTTGATACTATTTTTTGTAGAGCTGGGGTCTTGCTGTGTTGCCCAGGCTGGTCTCGAACTCCTGGCCACAAGCCACCCTCCTGCCTCAGCCTCCCAGAGTGCTGGGATTACATCCCCTTCTTACCTTCTCTGTCAGAGGAGCCCCCACAGCATGTGAGTACTGAGTCATGCGGTCTTGTGGTTGCTGAACGGGCTCTGCTGCTCTGGTCCTAGGCTCTGTATGTGGATGTGATCCGTGTGAACAGCTACTACTCTTGGTATCGCAACTACGGGCACCTGGAGTTGATTCGGCTGCAGCTGGCCGCCCAGTTTGAGAATTGGTGTAAGACATCACAATCCCATTATTCAGAGCGCGTATGGAGTGGAAACGCTTGTAGGGCTTCACCAGGTAAGCGGTGTTGAACTTTCTGCTTGTGTATTCTCTCTGGGCAGAGATGCCACTTGCCTCCCCCACCCTGCCCTGCGCCCACTGCAGTGCTCCCCTTGCTTCAGCTTTGGGCTCACCTCCCGCTACCCTGTCCACGTTCCCTTCTCACCAGCAGCCAGGCCTCTGCCCCACTCGCTTGGTCCTCAAAGGTGGACTCCTTACTGGCCTTGTTTCCAGACAGCCTCCTATCACCCGTGCCCAAGTGGTCTTTCTAAGAAATCCAAATTTTTATGTGTTTTTGAGACCGCCTCTCTCTGTGTCACCCAAGCTGGAGTGCGGTGGTGCGATCACTGCTCACTGCAGCCTTAACCTCCTGGGCCCAAGCGATCTTCCCACCTCAGCCTCCTGAGTATCTGGGACCATAGGCACAGGCCACCATGCCTGGCTAATTTTTTTACTTTTGTAGAGATGGGGCCTTGTTGTGTTCCCCGGGCTGGTCTTGAATTCCTGGGATCAAGTGACCCTCCTGCCTCAGGCTCACAAAGCGCTGGGATTTACAGGTGTGAGCCACTGTGCCCGGCCACAAATCAAAATTTTTGAGTCCTGTCATTGGCTCCCCCAGGCCCATAGGACAAAGTCCTAACCCCTAGTCAGGACACTCAGTGTCCTCTGCTCTCTCCTGGGTTTTCATCCTCTTCTCTTCTCACTCCTGGCCACTGATCTGTTTCCACTGCCCTCATTTGCTCTCCTGCTCTTGCTTGAGCTATTCTTTCTGCCTGGAATGCCCAAGTTGGCACCATAATCACCAACTAAAAGATCCTTTTCTTTTTATTTTTTTAGAGATAGGGTCTTGCTAGGTTGCCCAGGCTGGTCTCAAACTCCTGGACTCAATTGATCTTTTTGCCTTGGCCTCCCAAAGTTCTGGGATTAACAGGTGTGATCCACTGTGCTAGCCTTTTTTTATTTTTTATTTTTTTCCTGACAGGGTCTTGTTCTGTTGCCCAGGCTGGAGTGTGGTGGTGTCATCATAGCTCACTGCAGCCTCGAACTCCTGGGCTGAAGCAATTCCCCTGCCTCAGCCTCCTGAGTAGCTGGGACTACAGGCGTGCACCACCATGTGCAGCCTAGTTTTAAAATATTTTGTAGAGATGCAGTCTCGCTATCAGGCTGGTCTTCACCTCCTGTCTTGGACTCCCAAAGTACTGGGAATACAGGCATGAGTCACGACACGTGGCTGAAAAGATTCCTATTTGGCATCTGAGTCTCCTCATAGCTGTCCCCTCTGTGGGGAGGTTTACCCTGCCTGCCCCAGGCGGAGGGAACCTTCCCCGTGCTCTGCCCTGTTGCAGCCGGAACCTGGCTCCCCCAACATTCTCGCCAGGCACCGTTGTTATTTCTTTGGCTCTCTCTTTGATCGGACTGTGGGCTCAGGAGACAGGAGTCCTATTTATTATTGTTTCCCAGGTACTCTGCAATAGCTGACACAGTACATGCTAAATAATACCTATTGAGGGCATGGGTGAGATCTTAGAGCCATGTTTAATCACTCACTTTGTCTTTTTTTTTTTTTGAGATGGAGTCTCACTCTGTCACCCAGGCTGAAGTGCAATGGTGTGATCTCAGCTCACTGCAACCTCCACTTCCTAGGCTCAAGCGATTGTCCTGCCTCAACCTCCCAAGCAGCTGGGATTACAGGCACCTGCCACCATGCCCAGCTAATTTTTGTATTTTTGTAGAGGTGGGGTTTTGCCATGTTGGCCAGGCTGGTCTTGAGCTCCTGACGTCAAGTGATTTGCCTGCTTCCGCGTCCCAAAATCCTGGGATTACAGGCCTGAGCCACCATGCCTGGCCTGTCCTCATTTGTTTATCCATCTCATTTTTTGTCCTTCTCACCAAAGATATGTTGCTTTGTCTTGTGGGGTTTTTTTCATGTGGATTCCTGAACCCCATCCAGCCCCTTGTCCCCTCCCCAGCCAGCTCACACTCTTTTGCACAGCTCCTGGGACTCCCGTTGACACACAGGGAACAGCCACCCACAATGGACTGCACTGTTCTGTTTGCACCCTTAAATTTATCGTGCTTACAGAATGACACTTCTGCAAACTAGTCAAGTAGGGGGAAGTGATTTGTGGATATGCACCCTTGTTCATTCTCTTTGAAAAGGTAACCAGCTCTGAATTCTTTCTCCTTTTAGGAGGAGTTTCACTTGTCGCCCAGGCTGGAGTGTAGTGGTGCAATCTTGACTCACTGCTACCTCCGCCTCCCAGGTTCAAGCAATTCTCCTGCACCAGCCTCCCAAGTAGCTTGGATTACAGGCATGCACCACCATGCTCACCTAATTTTTTTTTTTTTTTTTTTTTTTTAGTAGAGATGAGGTTTCACCATGTTGGTTAGGCTGGTCTTGAACTTTTGACCTCAAGCGATCCACCTGCCTTGGCCTCCCAAAGTGCTGGAATTACAGGCATGAGCCACCATACCCAGCCCCAGTTCTGAATTCTTAAGAAACTCGAGAGGGTCTAGGTGAGCATTGATAGAACCTCTGCAGTGCTGGGTGTGCTGGCTCACACCTGGAATGCTAGCCCTTTGGGAGACCGAGGTCAGAGGATCTCTTGAGCCCAGGAGTTTGAGACCAGTCTGCACAACATGGACCCCATCTCTACAAAATATTTAAGATGAGTTGTGGCTGGGTGCAGTGGCTGACGCCTGTAATCCCAGCACTTTGGGAGGCTGAGGTGGGTGGATCACGAGGCCAAGAGTTCAAGTCCAGCCTGACCAAGATGGTGAAACCCCGTCTCTACTAAGAAAACACAGAAATTAGCTGGGTGTGGTGGCATGCACCTGTAATCCCAGCTACTCAGGAGGCTAAAGCAGGAGAATCGCTTGAACTGGGGAGGTGGAGGTTGCAGTGAGCCGAGATTGTGCCACTGCACTCCAGCCTGGGCGACAGAGCAAGACTCCGTCTCAAAAAAAAAAAAAAAAAATAGTTGGGTATGGTCGTGCTTGCCTCTAGTCCCAGCTACTTGGGAGGCTGAGGTAGGAGGACTGTTTGAGCCCAGTAGGTCAAGGCTGCAGTCCGCCATAATTGCACCACTGTACTCCCACCTGGGTGACAGAGTGAGACCTTGTTTCAAAAAAGAACCTTTGCAATGATGGAAATGCCCCATGTCTGCACTGTCTGAAATGGTAGCCACTAGCTACATGTGGCTATTGAGGTCTTGATATATGACTAGGATAACTGAATTTATTTGGTTTAATTAAAAAAAATTTTTTTTTGAGACAGCCTTACTCTGTTGCCCAGGCTGGAGTGCAGTGGCGTAATCACAGCTCACTGCTCAACCTCCTGGGCTCAAGTGATCCTTCCTCCTCGGCCCCCCAAGTAGCTGGAGCCACAGTCATGCGCCACTACACCTAGCGAATATTTAGCCTTTTTATAGAGACTGGGTTTTACTGTGTTGCCTAGGCTGATCTTGAACTCCTGAGCTCAAGTGATCCTCCTGCCTCGACCTCCCAAAGTGCTGGGATTACAGACCTGAGCTACCATGCCCAGCCTGGTTTAGTTTAATTTCATTTTACATTCATTCATTCATTCATGAGATAGGGTCTTGTTCTGTCACCCAGGCTGGAGTGTAGTGGTGCAAACCACAGCTTTGACCTCCGGGACTGAAGCAGTCCTCCCACCTCAGCCTCCCAAGTAGCTGGGACCACAGGTGTGTGCCTCCATGCTTGGCTAACTTTTGTACTTTTTGTAGGCTAGTCTTGAACTCCTAGGCTCAAGCAGTCCTCCCACCTCGGTCTCCCAAAGTGCTTGGATGACAGACATGAGCCAGCGCGCCTGACCTAAAGACATATTTTTCCTTCTAGTGTAGTTCAGCCTTAAGACTGTATCAGCAGACAGAGACGGAAAAGTAAGAAAAATTGAGTATCAGGTTATATTTATAAATAAAGCAGTTGCTAATTGATGGTTTTTTTTTAAACCTCCTTTTTAATTCTGGGTTACATCATTCCCTGGCTGTCGTTTCTTTTTTTGTATTTTTTTATTATTATTATTATACTTTAAGTTTTAGCGTACATGTGCACATTGTGCAGGTTAGTTACATACGTATACATGTGCCATGCTGGTGTGCTGCACCCACTAACTCGTCATCTAGCATTAGGTATATCTCCCAATGCTATCCCTCCCCCCTCCCCCCACCCCACAACAGTCCCCAGAGTGTGATGTTCCCCTTCCTGTGTCTATGTGATCTCATCGTTCAATTCCCACCTATGAGTGAGAATATGCGGTGTTTGTTTTTTTGTTCTTGCGATAGTTTACTGAGAATGATGATTTCCAATTTCTCCCTGGCTGTCTTTACCCTAGCATCAGTGAGTCCTGCAGTCCCTACAGCCCCCAGTGAGGACAGATATTTTGGTCACCATCAAGTGGATCTTTATTTTTATCTAACATTTACAATTCTGCCAGTTCTTACTCTTAATTCTCTTTGCCTTGAATCCCAGGATCCACCTCTGATGTTCAGTGAAGAGGACCAGAAAAGTCTGCTAGAGCAGTACCATCTGGGTCTGGATCAAAAACGCAGAAAATACGTGGTTGGAGAGCTCATCTGGAATTTTGCCGATTTCATGACTAACCAGTGTAAGTGGCAGTTTAGCGCATGGGATAATGTACCCGTCCTCATTTTTTCAGGTTGCCTTGCCCATTCTGGACATTTTGGCTGTAAGAATATTGGAAACAAAGGGGGGAACCTGGTTTAATCCATGTAGGTTGTGTTGATAATTTCCTAGGAAAAGTAAGTTGTGCTTAGGAAGTAGGAAAGCAGTCAGGCCCCCGCTTCCCACGTACGGTCAAAAAGCAAACATGAGAGTCTGCTATAGTGAGATGGAAATGGCTAGCTTGCCTTTTTCTTGTCTATTTCATAGCCAAGGATGAAGGAAAAACTGGACCTCATTATGGATTTACTTTTGGGATACACTCATTATTCCAGAGGAGGGTAAAAGGCTGAGAAGCTTAAGGTATTTCAGTCTGTTTTATGTTACTCATTTGCGAAAAGCAGGCTCATCGAATACAGGTGAGTTTCAACGCGTCTTGAATATGGCAGCATTTAAAAGTCTTCAGACCAGGCATGGTGGCTCATGCCTGTCATCCCAGCACTTTGGGAGGCCAAGGTGGGAGGATTGCTTGAGGCCAGGAGTTCGAGACCAGCCTGTTCAGCATAGCAGGACCCCCATCTCTACAAAAACTAAACAGATTAGCTAGGTGTGGTGGTGTGTGCCTGTAGTCCTAGCTGCTTGGGAGGCTGAGGCAGGCGGATAGCCTGAGCACAGGAGTTGGAGGCTGCAGTAAGCCATGATTACACCACTGCACTTGAGCCTGGGCAGCAGAGTGAGACCTGTCTTTTAAAAAAAAAAAGGAGCTGGGCACGGTGGCTCATGCCTGTAATCCCAGCACTTTGGGAGGCCGAGGCAGGCAGATCACGAGGTCAGGAGATCGAGACCATCCTGGCTAACAGTGAAACCCTGTCTCTACTGAAAATACAAAAAAAATCAGCCGGGCGTGGTGGCGGGTGCCTGTAGTCCCAGCTGCTCGGGAGGCTGAGGCAGGAGAATGGCATGAACCCAGGAGTTGGAGCTTGCAGTGAGCCGAGATTGTGCCACTGCACTCCAGCCTGGGCGACAGTGAGACTGCTTCTCAAAAAAAAAAAAAAAAAAGAAAGGGTCTTCAAAGACAATAAGATCTGTGCTCTCACGTAGGGTGGATGAGGGGCTGCCAAGTTAGCAATGAATGTTTCCCATTTCTTCTTAGTTTATGGACTTTCCATAAACTCAGGATGGCAGTTTGGTTGGTTGGAGAAGGATATGGTGATGGCGGGAGTTACAATACATTACTTATAGGGGAAGATAGGCTTTTGAAAGGTTAAAGCTTAAAAGTGAGAATGGAAAAGGGATGAATGAATGAACATGATGAGGTGAGAGGGAAGAGGTAAAGGGAAAAGGAGAACAAGCAACTCTTCTCTGCGTGGCACCTGGGATGAATGGTTTCTGGGGACATCCCTGATGGCAGTTTTGTGGAGAGGTGCAAAGCTTTATGTGTTAAGAAATGAGCTGTAGGCTCAGTGCAGTGGCTCACGCCTGTAATCCCAGCACTTTGGGAGGCCGAGGTGGGTGAAAAGAAAAAATGGGCTGGGCGCCGTGGCTTACGCCTGTAATCCCAGCACTTTGGGAGGCCGAGGTGGGCGGATCATGAGGTAAGGAGTTCGAGAGCAGCCTGGCCAACATGGTGAAACCGTGTCTCTCCAAAAAAATAGAAAAAACATCCCTGTATGGTGGTGAGCACCTGTAGTCCCAGTTACTCAGGAGGCTGAGGCATGAGAATCGCTTAAACCTCGGAGGCGGAGGCTGCAATGAGCTGAGATGGTGCCACTGCACTCCAGCCTGGGTGACAGAGCTGGGTGGTGGCTCAAGATATGTTTTGTAAACCTGAAGATTTGAGATCATATAAGCCAAATCGAAACTTAATTGGCATTCATAACTTTTGGTTCTAGAGACTCCATGATCAACTAAGAGCCACCAAACATTTCCCATGTAGACTATTTTGACCATGCTGACTCTACTGACACTGTGGTTACTGAATTCACTTTATCTCTAGAAATTAATTCTTACTAATGGATGTCTGTCACTGTAAGATCCTTCTCTCCTCTGAAATAAGGAGAACATTTTAACTTCAGTAGTTTAAACTAGTGTCCTAAACTATAGCATTCAAAATGAGATAATATGCTAAAGTAATACACAAACCAAAAATCCCAGTGGCTAACACAAAAAGTTTTTCTTACTCATTTTACATATCCAGGGTAAGTCAGTAATAGACGCAGACACACCCAGAGACCAAGGATGAGTTGTGATCTGTCTGCACACATAGTTCACAATGCCTGAGTGAGTTGTGCTTTGGCCTTTAAACTTCCACTCATGTTTAATTAATAAAGATTTTGCTCAAATGCCATTTGATGATGAGTTTCATGACGATGATCAACTTTAAAAGAACTTGGAAGTACAATCCTCAAGCGTTTCTGGAAATAGCAGAACTACAATATTTGAGAAAAATATTTTTTAATGTATAAAAAATTGGCAGGGTAGGCTAGCAAGCAAGAGACCTAGAGAAAAGTTGATGTTACAGTCTCAAGTCGAAAGGCAATCTGCAGGCAGAATTATTTCCTTGAGGGATCTCAGTCTTTTAATATAATCAATTGACTGGATGAGCCCTACAATATTTTGGAAAATAATCTGCTTTTCTCAGAAATTACTGATTTTCATGTTAATCTCATCTAACAATACTTTCAGAGCAACATCTATACTGGTATTTGAATATATAACTCTTTTATCTTTTAAAATATCAAATAATACAGTTATATATATATACACACATATGTATATATGTCACCTAAATTGTAGATATCAGAAATCAGAATGCTGTGATATGAATATTTAGTATATTTTAATCATGATAAATTATACATCCTTCTACCTTATGATAATGGATTTTAAGATCTATGCTGTTAAACTCTATATTTATCCTTTAATTCATATCTTGCTTATTTTACATTTATCTGAGAATACATTGGGTCTACTAAATCTTTACTATCATTCACAAGTCTTACATCTTAAGATAACTTTTCAATAAAATAAAAATTCTTCATTGCACCTAGAAAGGAGCAGGGTTTTGAAAGCGATCAATGATTACTCTGATACCTAATATAATAATATAATATAGTAAAAATCAAAATACTTGAATGAAAAATGTAAAATTAATAGTTTTGCTTTCATTGTTTTTATTCCAGTGTCTATTTTAGAATGTTTTTACTCTAATTGTGTTTTTATGCAAAACCAAATGAGCTTTAGATAATTCCATTGATACATTACATATGAAAGTTCTCGTTAAATAGGATATAGCATATTTTACTTAAAAATCCAAATTATAAAATAAAGAGGGATTTTAAGTTGAGTCTAAAATTTTTGTTTCAATTTTGTTTTTATTTAAAGACTTGCTATAATTCTGTGAGAGAGCTATAAAAGTCTGCTCAGAAACATTATAATGTAAAATGGACAGAGAAGGACAATGAGATATTTAATTTGCCACGGCAAAGCCATTGCTGTGAAGAATGGATAATATATGTCAATGGTAATATATGAAGAAATAACACAGGTGAATAGCAGAGGCAATAAATCTGTTTTTACCACAGGACTTGTCTTACACTTTTCTCTTAGTAATAAATAAAATAATTTTCGACCAGATGGAGCTGGCTTGAAATCCTCTTGTTTATGGCAGTACATATCGGTTATGATTCAAAAAATATAGCCCATTTCCAAAAACCTGCAACAAAGAGATACTTTCTCAGGTGAGTGTTCAGATCATTATTCATTACAAAGTGTCAGTTTTGTCTTTATTGATCCTCATTATTGTAAGAAAGTATGTGGTCCTGTCTCCATTCTATTAAAACAACATTGTAGAGATTAGCACTGAGTCTTTCCAGCCATGTGCATCTGTTCATTTCCGTCTCCAGCTTGAGTTTTTCTGTGTATTACAAAATAAGAAAACAAAAATGACACAATAATCTATTTTGTCTGGTTTTGCTCTTTATTAGTAGAAATAGACAAGTGAGGAGTTGGAGGAAGAAATTGCTTCTGATCTGTTTTAGATACAGGTGAAACTCTCCCTCCCTCCCCGCCCCACCCAGTCTTTCTCTGTCTCCCTCCCTGAGCCTATTCTTGCTTCTTCCCTTTACAAATAATTAACTGCTCAGGTCATGTTGAACCAAAAAATAGCGTCTGTAGCCCCTGTGTGCTTACTTTAAGTATATGTTACTGAAAAATGCGGAGTGAGCACTTAACAACTCATTCTCCTGGGAAGCACAGTGCTACTATACCCCAAATGCTTTTCTTTATCATTTTAATTTTTATCTTCTTTACTTACATTTCCAACATCAGTTAAGAGGGTCTTGTAGTTTTCTAACTGAAAGGAGACTGTAAAATCTCCTTGCTCAAAACTCAGATGCAGAATATTATTTTTACTACAATAAATACATCTACAACAATGGTATTATATCTGGTTTATTTCAAAGTCAAGTTCTAATATAGGTAAACAAATATACTAATAAAGAGATAATGCTTTTCTCATGAAATGTATAATCTAGTAGGAATAAAGATAAACAATTTTTTTAAAAATTCTATTTCATTAAGCAAAAATGCAACTCAGAAGAATAATGTATATTAGCAGTCATTTACTATTTTTCAATTAAATTCCGATATATATGTAAAGTAAATTATTACTAATATCAAACATAGTTTAAAGAATTAGTGACTATGTGCACTTGGATCTCCATATGTAATGTACTATCAGCATCTTCACAAACACAGTAAATTTTAATATGCAAGTAAAACTTATTTTACTAAACGATTACTCCTTCTATATTCATATTCCTAAACACATACAGTTTCTTAATGTAATTAAGTTTTTAACTAAAAAAAGGGAAATGCATTATTGAGGCGATAGGATTACTGGGTGGCTATAAACACATCTGCTGCACAGCTGACATTTATCTTCTACAATGAGCAATGACAATTTTATTTTTTAATAATCAGTATGGACTAATCCTGATGATTTTTTTTAACATTTTCAAATAGGGCTGCATATGGCTTAAAATTAATATATACATGTGTACCTATATAATATTCTTATTTATTAATGGACTTCCTACATAGCTCATATTGACGTTAGATTTAAATGAAATTCCAGAAGGGTTTTCTATAGGTAAGTCATACATTGGATTTCCATATTACCTATGATTATTGAAGTATTTATTTCTGTTTTTAAGACTTCAGAGCAATTTTGCTGGTCATTTGTTTTCTGTGTTTTTATTTTGAAATTGTTCTTTGAGGCATTGTCCTATTACATTTTTAAGGTATGTTAATAAAATAATATTTTTAATGAAATTTTGCCTACTGCTTTCCAGGTGAACTCTTGTTTAAAGTATTAATTCACCAAAAATTACTTATATTCAGAAAATGAACTAAAAAAAATAATATGACGTGTTCAAGAAAGTCGAACAAAAGTTACGTGATGTTTGCAACATACACAACTCCATACCCTTCTCAAATAGTAAAGAGAATAGTAAATAGAATAGGTAGTAAGCAGAGTAGGAATTGTGGAATATGGAACTCTCAGTCACTCAACTGACTTTATTTTTTAGTAATACGGGATTTGAATTATTCAAGCTGAAGCCATTAAATATTCATAGTGCTTCGTATTATAAAGTTATTGATTAATGTCTTTGGTAAAGAACACTATTATTTCTGATTACATCAAGGTCATCCCGAGGAACAGGACCAAAGCATAAAGTTTTATATATGAAATATGAGAAGTTAATACATAATTCATATTTAACAGATAACATAAATGTTAACCCCTTGGCGAATCTGAAGCTAATACCCATGTTCTTCTGGCAATTCTTTATACTGGCAATTTGGAAAATGCCAGTGTTTTATCGCTACCTATTCTTGTATTATGACATGAATTAATACATATCTGCCTCACTATTCCTGTGGGCAAAAAAAGACTGTGAATTATGTGCCAGAGAGAGATTTTACAAAATTAAATGAGGCAAAGTACTTTTCCTCTGTATACTCATTAGAAATATGCTGAGTAGTTCCTTTCACTTTCCGATAAAATATAATCAGTTCAGCCATATAACAGATATCTTTTAAACTTTTAATGTCCTCTGTTAGAATGAATATGATATTTGGGACCAATTCACATTTTGGAATAATGTACATACTAAGCATAAGTGAAGAATTTAAACATTAACTTGATTTAGGACTGGACTCTTAAGAGGTTTTAAAAAGTTGAAAAACGGAATTCCAACAAATTTAAATGGCTTGTTTAGGGTTTCCACAGGCAATACGGGTGGGTGCAATGGAAAGAGAATTCCTTTAATCTAAACGTGGGCTTTATTCTGGCTCTGCCACATATTGACTGTTTCATACAAATGTAACTTAAACTGCAGGTGTCATGATTTTTCACACATATACAAATAAAACAATGTTGATTATATAGGATTTGTTGAGAAAATGCAATTATGCCAAGTACAAGTATTTGGCCTATTATCTCACTTTATAAATATTAGCAATTCTTTTTGTGGAGGGAATAAATCTAACATGCTGGCTTTTAGAATTTCTTCTTATTTTTCTTTCAACTTTATTGCCATGTAACATTTTTAAGTCAATAAATCTGACAATTAGACTGTGGGTAATTTTCTTCCAAATCCATATCTTGTTTTCTCTATCAATAGTAGCATTTTAAAACAACAGAAGGGAACTTTAATTACAGTAGGTTGGGAGCCATTTTCTCCCTTTGGTCATATTTTCATTGAAATTCCTACATTGTTTAATATTAGGACTTAGTTTGAATATCACATCAACAAGGTTGCTCAATAGAAATATTATGGAATCATTTTTCTGTCATGCCACAGAACTTATTAACTGTATGTTCAAAATGCAGCTCAATTCTGATCATTTTTGCTACTTTCACCACTAGCATCCTGGTGCTAACCACCATCATTTATTGCCCAGGTTATTGAAATGGCCAGCAAACAGGTGTTTCTGATTCTGCGTAAGGCACCCTTCAGTACATCCTCAAAAGAGCAATTTGTATAATCACTTTAAAACATGTATCAGGTTATTACCTTTTTCTGTGTAAAACTCTGATCTCTCGTTTCATTCATTGTAAAAGTCAGAATCTTGCACAATGCTTTATAGATGCTCCACCACATGAAGCCCCCAATTCTTCTATGGACTTCCCTCCTTCCACTATGTAATTTTCTCACTCAGCTTCACGTACAGTATTTTCTTGGTTATTACTAAACATGCAACAGATACGGTTTGTTCTATATCTTCCTCATGCTTTTGGTCAGATGCCATTATCCCAGTGAAGTTTTCCATAGCCACTTTATTCAAATTCCAAACAATCTGTCCCCTTAGACATTCTCCATTCTTAATTTTTTGCCATTGTACTTACTACAGTCTAACACACTATACATGTTACATTTTTGCTTATTGTTTATTGTATAGTCCCTAGAATATTAGTTCCCTGAGGACAGAGATTTCTGTAAGCTTTTCCAAAGATGTATCCCCAAAGCCCGGAATGCTACCTGGCAACAAATACTTGTTATAATGAATTAGAAGTGGGTAGATTCACACATCAGAGACAGCGTAGTGTATATAATGATTTTTTAAAGCATTAGAGTCATAGATATTAGGATTTGTATTATGTCTTCACCATTTACAATTATGCTACCCTCAACAAGTTGTTTAATCTTTCCATTCCTCAGTTTCCTCATGACTCATATATTGGAAATATTGTCTACCTTAGAGCTCTTCCAAGAGTAATATTGAGACAATGTTTCAACAATGTTTAGCACATTGCTGAATATTAATACATTATTTCTATTAATGTAAGAAATTTCATAGACTTGCTAGAAATAACGAGGATGGAATATAGATGAAGATCATAAAACATGATGGAAATAAATGTTGGAAAATGTGGGTGGTATCCTTAGCACACTCTCTAACGTAAGGAGTAAAATCTGTGTCATATGACTTTATCTTTCTTCTGGAAACTAACAGAATTTAGTAACACACTTTTCTTGACCTGAGGATTTGCCCTTACCACAAAATTGTTTTTGAAACTTGAGTGTTTACAATGGCTTTTTACCAGTTCTTTTATGTTCTACCAGTTCCTCTCCAATTTACTATGGACTGAAGTCACACTAATTTGTTAAGAGCAAACAAAACAAAACAAAACAAAACAAAACAGTTATTACCTCATTCTAGCCTCAAAGCATCTGCCTTTTCAATGCAATCAAAATTAAATGCAATCAAAATTAAATGCAATCAAAATTAAATGCACAATTCTAATTTTGATGACTTTAGTCCCTGCTTATCTGTTATATTAGGCTGTTCTTGTATTGCTATGAAGAAATATCTGAGACTGGATATTATAAAAATGTTTAATTGACTCACAGTCCTGCAGGCTGTACAGGAAGCACAGTGGCATCTTCTTCTGGAGAGGCCTCAGGGAGCTTTTACTCATGACAGAAGGCAAAGCAGGAGCAGGCACTTCACATGGTGAAAGCAGGAACAAGAGAGAGAGAGTATGTTGGGGTAGGTGCACTACCATGGAGACAGCACCAAGTCACGAAGGATTCGACCTCATGATCCAAACACTTCCCACCAAGCTCCACCTTCAGCACTGGGGATCTGGTTTCAACATGAGATTTGGGCGGGACATCCAAACTATATCAGCTGTCTCCCTCATCCAAGACCATGTGATCCGTAGCTCACTTTTGTCTAGCAACAGATTAAATACAGCATTTTCTGTGTGATATCTTTGTTGAGGTCTTTGCAGATGGCTGTTTCTTTGTCCTGAAACTTTCTTCATCTGCTCTTTCAAAATGAGTGACTCTTCATCCTCGAAGTCTATGCTTATATATTGCTTTTCAGAGGAATCTTTTCTGAACTGGGCATTCTGCCTTCAACCAACTATTTTCTATTATAGTTTCCTGTTTGTGAGTTAATAGTCCTTTTGAAAATTTGACTACTCATTTACCTTCTTGGGTTATTTGAAATTATCTCCTCTTCACTAGATTCTATAGAAGCATAGCCATGCCTGCCCTCTTTACTGTTTCTCTACTGACTTGTTGCAATGAATATTGTCAGTAAACATGGAAATAAATCAGTTATTCAGATATCCTACCTTGGTGCTTGCTTAGATAACTCCACACTGTGATGCCTAATGACCTACACAGGGCTTTCTAGCAAGGAGTGACTTTCTTTCTGCTACGTGTAATAATGATCCATCAACTTAAACATATAGTTATATTTCCAGCAGACGGTTTCTTGAAACTAATGTCCAGGGTGTAGTTATTCAAAAAAGCAAACTCTTCTCTTGATTTCTGCCATACATTGGTACTCTTTCTCTCTCCCTTTTTTATTTTATTATTTTTTTTTTGAGACAGAGTCTCACTCTTTCACCCAGGCTGTGGTGCCATCCCAGCACACCCTGCAACCCATTGCCTCCCAGATTCAAGCGATTCTCCTGCCTCAGCCTCCCTAGTAGCTGGAATTACAGGCATGTGCCACCATGCCTGACTGATTTTTTGTATTTTCAGTGGAGACGGGATTTCACCATGTTGTTCAGGCTGGTCTCAAACTCCTGACCCCTAGTGATCCATCTGCCTCAGCCTCCTAAAGTGCTGGGATTACAGGCGTGAGCCACCCCGCTCGGCCTACTCTTTTATTTCTGTTTTGTCTTTCCTTTCTCAAGAAAGAAAACAAACCAAAACCAAAACAGTTTGGAAGACTTTATAGTATTCATCCATACAAAAGAACAAGATCATGTCCTTTGCAGGAACATGGGTGGAGCTGGAGACCATTATCCTCAGCTCCACCCATCCTCAGCTCCCACTAACGCAGGAACAGAAAAACAAATGCAGCATGTTCTTATTTATAAATGTGAGCCAAGTGATAAGAACACATGGACTCATAGAGGAGAACACCACACACTCGGACCTACCTGAGAGTAGCGGGTGGGAAAAGGGAGAGGTTCAGGAAAAGTAACTAATGGGTACTAAGCTTAATACCCGGGTGACAACATAACCTGTACAACAAATCCCCATGACACGAGTTTACCTGTATAACAAACCTGCACGTGTACTCCTGAACTTAAACTAAAAGTTAACAAAAGGCCAGGTGCAGTGTTTCACGCACGTAATCCCAGCACTTTGGGAGGCTGACATGGGTGGATCACCTGAGGTCAGGAGTTCAAGACCAGCCCGACCAACTAAATACAAAAAGTTAGCTAGATGTGGTGGCAGGTAATCCCAGCTCCTCTGGAGGCCAAGGCAGGAGAATCGCTTGAATCCAGAAGGCAGAGGTTGCAGTGAGCCGAGATTGTGCCACTGCACTCCAGCCTGGGCAATAAGAGTGAAACTCTGTCTCAAAAAAAAAAAAAAAAAAAAAAAAGTTAACAAAACGTTCTTCTCTAGTTCTAAAGCACCAACACAGAGGTGATCAAAATACTCTAAGAAGCACTGGGAAACATTGAGGGGATGGTTCAAACATCAGAGCTAAGGCCTAATTTCCCAACAGTCATTATTTCTGTGGTATTTTGCATATTAGAGACGTATAGGTTCCTCACCTAATCCTTGTTTTTTCATTTTATTTTTAATACATATGAAAGTCATAATAACAAAAAAAATTCATACATCAGCAGCTCAGCTAGAAATAAAAGTCTCAATCTACTGGAAGCCCCTGTGAACTTGTATCAAATTCCTTTCTCTCTTCATAGAGGAAATAATGACTCCCAAAATGTGGTAATGAACAAATATCTCTAATTGTTTAAAATTTAGTATATGTGCAAGTCTCCACAGACACAATCATGATCATATATTTTTAGAAGTTAAAAACGTGTCTATCATCAGGGCGTGGTGGTTCATGCCTGTAATCCCAGCACTTTGGGAGGCCTAAGTGGGTGGATCACCTGAGGTCAGGCGTTCAAGACCAGCCTGGCCGACATGGTGAAACCCTGTCTCTACTAAAAATACAAAAGTTAGCCAGGCGTGGTGGAGGGTGCCTGTAATCCGAGCTACTCAGGAGGCTGAGGCAGGAGAATTGCTTGAACCCGGGAGGCGGAGGTTGCGGTGAGCCAAGACCACGCCACTGCACTCCAGCCTGGACAACAGAGCAAAAACTCCGACTCAAAAAAAAAGTGTCTATCTACCTTCTGCTTTATTTTGTTTTATATGACATTGATGATGTCCATCTATGTTGGCCCATATAATTCTTATCAATTATTTTAAATGCTGTTTAGCATTGTACTATATAAAAATATCAAAACACAGCTCCCTTTTGTTCATTATATTGCCATTTAGTTTTTTTCTCATTTTTTGCTATTTCAACAAAAAGCTGCTATGAATGTGTATGTGTGTATATATATATTAAATGTGTATATATATGAATGTATATATATATACACATATATATGTCAGAGTTTCTCTAGGCTATAAACCCAGGAACAAAATTTAAAAATCATAGGGTGTATTGGATCTTACATCACTGCAGACCCTCTCAGCATTACCTCTTGTTCCAGTCAGAGCCTTGGTTACTATTTTTATGTAGACTTTGGTCAGTTTCATAAAGATGGAAGTGATAGTATGTGGCTTCAGACCAGAGCAAGAATTCACTTTCTGCTGTGGGATTTCTCAGACAATGTTGTGTGGATTGTTGTAGGCATTTTGCTTGTTACTCATAAATGCACTGTCTAGACACATCGAGAAGTTAGCATCCATGAGGCTATGCTTGAAAAATGGAACTCCTAGAGCTGATGGATACATATTTCCCCCGTTGTTTCACTTCAGTGAATGGTCATATAGTATTCCATCACCTAACTTAATAATGTGTTCTAGATTTTACTCTCTCTCCCTATAGCACCCATCCTGTTTCTTATTCTTACTCCACAATACACTCCCAACTTAAACACACAGTCTCTTCTTTAGGTGTTGGGGGTTGGGAGTTATTACAAGATGACATGGTGTATGCATTTATTTCTTTGTCTACGTTGATTGCACTGATTTACAGTCTCACCAGCAGTTCATAAAATCCTTCCTTGCAGCTAAGATATGGGCACAAGACTAAAATTTATATCTTTAGCTGATATCTCATTCCTGAACACTCATCTCATTTGCGACTGCCTTGAATATCAAATAGGCATCTCAACCTTAGTAAGTAAAAGAGAATTCTTTATCTGCATCCTGCCAATCCTGCTTCTTTCCCAGTAATTTTTCACTCAGTAATTTGAGCCATTATTAATCTATTTTCTAAAGCTTCAAAACATGGAGTCATTACCAGCTGTTTTATATACACCATTCCAAGCCATTAGAAAGTCAATTCCATTTCACCTGGAAGTTTATTGCAAATTTGACAATTGTCTCTTACATGAACTACTAAAATAGCTTCTCAGCAGCATCTGTGTGCTGCCATTATCCATCCTTCCTCCAGTCTCTTCCCCACCAGGCAATGGAAGTCATCTCTGGCAATATAATGCATTTCACATTAGTTTCATTTTTCCAGCTGAAAATCTCAAAAGTATTTCATTTACATGCCTAATAAAAGCTAAAGATATAATCTTGCTCAGAACTATAAGCTGGCTTCTCCACCTACCATTATCATTTGCCTTGATTACTCTGCTCTATATCATCATCTTGCATACCCTAACACATGACTTTTATACTCATTGCTCCATCTGTTATAAACATACTGATAAATAATGTTTCCTCTTTAGCAGTGATTTCCTGATCTAATCAATATTTTGGTATCATATAAACTCATTGGATTATTAGTGATTATCACTAACCTGCTATCATACAATACACATTTAATTTCTTTTCTCTTTGTTTATTGTCTAAACTGCTAGGTAGAAGGGCACTTTATCTATTCTTATCACAAACGTAGGACAACGGCTAGCACAAGGTTAGGAACTTACACGCTATTCGATTAATTGTTGTTTAATAATTGATTAAAAACTCCAGAACTTTGGGTTCCATTCTTATGATGACAATAATATAATGCTAGGGATGCCAAGTGAATAGCAAGTTTAACCAAGTTATCCTGTATGGGGAGCCACAGTTACTTAAAATGTCTGACAATCCACAGTCCTGGTGATGATGTGGAATATCACTCTCTTAATCAATGCAAACAATTTATTTAATAGTCATAGTGCTAAAGATGGCATGCCCTCCAAATGAGCAATTGCACTCTTGGTTATGCATTTATATGAATATGTATATAGGAATAGTCATGATAAAACTACTAATTATTATAAAATTTTTGGAAAAAGCATAACTATTAAAAATGAAATTGGTAACTTAAGACTACTCAATACATCAGTAAAAATGAATGAACTAAGCAAAAACATGGATGAATTTCAAAAACGAAATTTATTTTCATTATTTATTAAGAAAGAAAATTTGCACTGTTTTCAAGTCTAATACCAAACAGAACTAAATGGTATTTCTGGATAAACAAATTAGAAAATAAAATTATGAAAAATGCAAGAAAAAAATTACCACAAAAGTTGGGATAGAAGTTACATTAAGAGATGGCATGGTCTTATACAAAGAAAACCCTAAAGACTCTGAAAGACTCCTAGACTTGGCAAAAGACTGCAATAAAGTTTCAGAATACAAAGTCAATGTCCAATAGTCAGTAGTATTTCTATATAGCAATAATATTCAAGCTGAGAACAAAATCAAGAACTCAATCTCATTTACAATAGACACACACACACACACACACACACACACACACACATAACTGAGAAATACGTTTAACCAAGGAGGTAAAATATTTCTACAATAAGAACTACAAAAGATGGGTGGAAGAAACCTGAAATAAAACAAACTAATGGAAAAATATCCCATGTTCATGGATTAAAAAAAATTAAAAATGACCATGGTGTCCAAAGCAATCTAAAGATTCAGTGCAATTTCTATCAAACTACCAATGTCATTTTTCACAGAATTAGAAAACAACAATCCCAAAGTGTATATGAAATTCTGAATTGAAAAAATGACCCAGATAGCCAAAGCAATTCTAAGCAAAAAGAACAAAGCTGGAGTCAGCACTTCACCCCATTTCAAATTATACTACAAACCTATAGTAACAAGAACAGCATGGTACCAATACAAAAACAGATACATAGTTTAATAAAATTAAATAGAGAACCAAGAAATAAAGCCACATACCTACAACCAACTAATCTTCAACAAAGCGTGCACAAATAAACAATGTGGAAAGGATACCTTTTTCAATAAATTGTACTAGAAAAAATGGATATCCGTATACACAAGAGTAAAACTGGATTCCTATATCTCACCATATATAAAAATTAACTCAAGATTGATTAAATACTCAAATGTAAAAACCTATACAATTCCTAGAAGAAAACCTAGGAAAACTTTACTGAATATCAGCCTTGACAAAGAATTTATGACTAAGTCATCAGAAGCAAATGAAACAAAAATAATAATAGGCAAATGGGACCTAAGTAAACTAAAAATCTTCTGCACAGCAAAGGAAATAATCAACAGAGTAAACAGGCAACCTACAGAACAGGAGAAAATATTCACAAATTATGCATCTAACGAAGTACTAATATCCAGAATCTACATGGAACCCAATAAATAATAAACACATTATGTCATTACAAAGTAGGCAAATGACATAAACAAACATTTATCAAAAGAAGACATGCAGGTTGCCAACAAACATTAAAAAATACTCAAGATCACTGATGATCATAGAAATGTAAATCAATATTGAAGTGTGTATTAGTCTGTTCTCATGCTGCTATGAAGAAATACCCGAGACTGGGTAATTTATAAGGAAAAGAACTTTAATGGACTAACAGTTCCGTACGGCTGGGGAACATTCAGGAAACTTACAATCATGGTGGAAGGGGAAGCAATCAAGTCCTTCTTCACATGGCAGCAGGAAGGAGAAGAATGAGAGCCGAGCAAATGTGGAATCCCCTTATAAAACCATCAGATCTTGTGAGACTCACTCACTATCACAAGAACAGCACGGAGGGTAACCGCCCTCATGATTCAATTACCTCCCACCAGGTGCCTCCCATGACACATGGGGATTATGAGAACTAAAATTCAAAATGAGATCTGGGTGGGGACACAGCCAAACCACATCAAAAAGTGATTCATTTGACATGGTCTTCCCTATCTTCTCTCATTTAGGGTAACATTATTTCCTTGAATCAAAAGGGTATCCCTGTAGACTTTGAGTTCATCTTGACATCTTTGAACCATGGATTATCAATTTGCAAATGTTATTTGTTGAATTATTGAGCTATATTCCTTGACATGCTTTTAAGAATGATATTTTCATTAAAATAAATGAGGGACTCATCCTAATATTTAGGAAGATTTCTCAACATCATCACATACAATTATGAATTATTATGGACACAACAGTGGTAGTTTGGATTTTTATTGTGGTTAAACTTTTAGAAAGTACAAAGTATTCATAAATCTACATTTTAATATTTTATAATTCAAATGAATTTTAAGTAACTATTTTGATATTCTATAAATAAAAATGTCACCTATACTATATAAGGATTCACTCACTTCTCTCTGCATTCTCATCAATACCTGATGTGTTGTGACTTTTAAAAACTAGCCATTCTGACTAGTATAAGGTGACATTTCGTTGTGGTTTTAATTTTTATTTCTCTGATGATGAGACTGAGCATTATTTCATATGTTTGCTGTCCACTAGTATGTCTTCTTTTGAGAAATGCCTGTTTATGTACTTTGTCCATTTTTTAATGGGGTTATCTATTTTGTTGTTGTTGTTGAGTTGTTTGAATTTCTTGTCGATTCTGGATATTAGTACTTAGTTGGATGCATAGTTTGCAAATATTTTCTCACATTCTTCAGGTTATCTGTTTTCTCAGTTATTTCTTTTGCTGTGCAGAAACTTTCTTGTTTAATTAAGTCCCATTTGTCTACTTTTGTTTTTGCTAAATTTGCTTTTGAGGTCTTAGTCACAAATTTTTTGCCAAGGCCAATGTCTAGAAGAGTTTTTCCAGGTATTCTATGAGTACTTTTATATCTTCAGGTATTATATTTAATTCTTCAATTCATCCTGAGTTAATTTTGTGGATGGCAACAGATAGGGGCCCAGTTTTATTCCTCTGCATGTGGCTTTCCAATTTTCCCTGCACTATTTATTGAAGGGGATATCCTTTTCCCAGTGTATGTTTTTTTCAATGTTGTCAAACATCCATTGACTGTAGGTAGGTCCCTTTATAAATATCCACTAATAAAGTGACAAAGTGCCTTTGTCACTTTATTCCTGGAATTTCTATTTTGCTCTATTGAGTATTGTGTCCATTTTTATATCACTATCATATTGTTTTTGTTACTATAGCCTTATAGTATAATTAGAAGGAATGTAAATTTGTCCCACCTCTATTAAAACAGTATGAAAATTTTTTCAAGTATTAAAGAGCCACAATTCACTCTATCAATCCTATACTGGGTGTATACCCAAAAGAAAAAATATCATTATACCAGAAAAGATATTTGCACTCATTTATTTATAGCAGCAATATTCATAATACCAAAGATATTGAATCAACATGTGTCCATCAACAAATAACTGGATAAAGAAAATGATGTGATATACATATATACATATATACACACACATACACGCACAATGAATACTACACAGCTATAAAAAATAACATCATTTCACTTGCAGCAATATGGAAGGATAATTTTACACTTTATGTCTTAGTCTGTTTTGTGCTGCTGTAACAAAATACCTGAGACTGGGTAATTTATAAAAAATAGAAAATTATTTTCTGATAGTTCTGTAGGCAAGGAAGTCAATGATCAAGATACCAGCATGTAATGAGGGCCTTCTGTTGCACTCTCAGATAGCATTAGTTTAAATGGCAAGAGAAAGGCAGAACTCTATTTGAGAGGGCTGTTGCAACCTTACAGCATGATACATCTTGTGAAATATGGTTTTGAACATTTTTATTAAAAATGTAGGCATCAAAATCTCTACCATTTGTGTCATGTTATAATAATAACTATAAAACTGCATTATTCAGAATATGTAACAATAAAAATTAATATTAAAAAGTTTTAAAATGTATTTGCTTTTGCATATATCGTTTCTATTGATCATAACAACCAGATGTGATAACCAGGGCCAGATATTTCTACTGTTATCATTAGAAATCAAAGAAAACTAACATATTGGATGGTTTTAAAAATTATAAAAATTGTAAGTGTACATATAAATATTAACTTGTAAGTCATCTTGCAAGTATTATAATCAGATTTCATTTTCAAATCGTGATGAATCTAACATGATACCTAAGTTTGTATATTGAACAATGTGTATACATGTGCACACACTTTTAATTTATATTTTTCTCATTCTGAGTGATAATGCAGCAAAATTTAAAGAGATTACACTATAATTATGTTTAAAATCTTACTTGTACTTTTGAAACAAATCACAGGTTGAGTCATGATAACAGGACAAAATATACTTAGCTGCTGAATATAAACAAAGTATACAGAAGCGTAAATCTTGCGAGCACAAAAGTGTTAAAAACAGCAAGATCTAGAGGCTCAAGTACAAGAGAGATATATTATACCAAGAGCAGTAATCTCAAAAATTTATATCCCAAATGTGTAGACTTGATCTTATTTTCAGTCAGTGTGTTCTGTATGGAAGATGAACATGCTCCTGACAACGGAGTATGATTTAGAAAACTATATCCTGCACAGAGGGATATAAAATGTGATTATATACTGCACTTCTGTGCAAAATTTTAAACAGAATTTAATCAATCACTTTGAAACCTAGATGTATTTGTGGAACAATGACATCACTTTGAAATTATGTGTAGTTTGTAAATGCACAAAATTAATAATGTATTTTGTGTAAATGGATTACTTTGGAAAGAAACTCATAAGAACTACATTATCAGACAAAACATTCTTTGAAAATGTGTGTGCTACAAGGCAATTTGCCATTTCATTTTAATAGAATGTTCCATGCTGAAAATGTCTAACTGCTCAGAAGTGGAATAGGAGTGTAAATTTATTATCTGAGAAAAGAAAATTAATTGACACAGGCCAAAAATGTAATGGAATTAGACCCATGTGCCTTAGTGAGAACTTAGGAACTCGATCTGGGCTCTATGGAGTGACAAAATTATGCAAAAAAAAAATGAAGTATGTCATTTTTGCACAAAGCTCAGGATTTCTCAAAGGAATATTACATAAAATAATGAAGTCTCCTTTATCTCCAAGACAGTCCAGTCTTAGAACGCAATGGAACATGCCATTTGAAATAAAAAACAAATTTTGTTTTTGTTTTGTTTTGTTATGTTTGGTGCTATTTTAAGTATTTAACATTCATAAAGAGAGAATTAGCAATTAATGAGATAAAGTTTAAAAAAAATCGAGATCAGGACAAGGTAAAAAAAAATCATTCAGTCTTGCAAATCTGTTATTTAATAGGTCATGTTTTAAGAACTGGGAATACAGATACTACGTGTATTTTAAATAGAAAATTTGAAATGTACAAGAAGTCATTTTTAAATATAGTCACTCTGCTATAAAGTCAATCTCTAAAACTCAATCTTTGTGTCTAACTGAAACTGTACCCTGTGAACAACATCTCCCCATTCCCTATCCCTTGCCTCCAGCATTAACTAGCATTCTACTCTCTACTTTTAAGGGTTTGCCTTTTTTCGATTGCTAAAAAGTCTATTTTCAGTGTTCTCACAACAAAAAGATAAATATGTGACATAAGAGATGTGTTAAGCAGCTTGATTTAATCATTCCACAATATAAATATATACGAAGACATAATACTGTACCCCTCAAAACAATTATTATTTGTTTATTTAAAACATTTAAAAACAAAAAATGAGACAAATATCAGGAAAGTAATTTTATACATAAGCTAGATAATTGCCTATAGCTGCGTATGCTGTGAAATAATTTCTGTTTGAAAAGACAGGAAAAATTATATGGCAAAACCATAGTGCAGTAATAAATTTGCCATGTTTAGTAAACAAAATATAGTTCAATGTGACTGAAGCATACCAAGAGGCAGAAGAATGTGGTGTACACTGTAGTGTAGAGGAGTGTCTTAGTTTGGGCTGCTATACAAAATACCATAGATTGAGTGGCTTACAAATAACAAAAAAAGTATTTCTTACTGTTCTAGGGGTTGGAAGTCCAAAGTCAGAGTGCCAGGATGTTCTGGTTTTGGGGAGGGCCCTTTTGCGGTTGCAGACTGTTGGGTTTTTGTATAAGCACATGGGGAAAGAAGTGAGAGCTCTCTTAGGTCCCTTTTATAAGAACACTAAGCCTATTCATGAGGCCTCTACTATGACAACCTAATTACCTCCTGAAGGTCCCACTACTAATACCATTACATTGACAGTTACGATTTCAATATACAGATTTTGAGGGTACACTTTAAAAATTCAGTCCGTAACATTCTGCCCCAGGTTCCCCAAAATTCATGTCTTCACATGCAAAATGCAGTCATTCCATTCCAACAAATCCACAAATCTTAACTCATTCCAGCCTCAAGTCCAGTCTAAAGTCCAAGGTCTTATTTAAATATTACCTAAATCAGATGCAGGTGAGCTTCACGGTACAGTTCATTCTCACAAAATTTCTCTTCATCTGTGAACCTGTGGAATCAAACAACATGAACTCTCAAAATACAATGGTGAGACAGGCATAGGATAAACATTCCCATTCCAAAAAGAACCACTATTCGAAAAAAATAAAATATATGAATGCTGGATCCCAAGTAAATCTAAAACCTAACAGGGCAAACTCCATCAAACCCTAAGGTTCAAGAAGCATCCTCTTTGGCTTGATGACTCACCTTCCAGACAGTCCCCGACAGCTCAGTGAGGCACTGCTCGCTGCTGACTCTATGCACTGGACCCACTTATGGCACAGTCTTTTGTCAGGGCTGAGGTCACTCACCCAGGGCTTCACTGGATGGCCCTCCCACACAGCTCCTCTGAGCATCATTTCTGTCCTTTGAAATCAAAATGGAGGTAACCTTGGCCCACCTTGCCATACCCTCTGGATTTTTGGTAAAAGCAGCAGCTGTAATTGTCTCCAAATCCCCTTTGCGCCCCTTCTTCCGTAATTTTGAAGGAGAGAATAGCACACATCCACAACTGAATAGCTCTCGGGTCCGGGCCTGTAGGGCTTAAGCATTCCGAATGTCTTCCTTTATTTCGTCCCATTATCTCTGTTTCCTTTAGTCCCAACTGGCAGTGTTTCTCCTGGTATAATCCCATTTCTAGTCATGGTTTGTGTTGAGATGTTTGATTAAGCCTGTGGTTCACACCCATATTAATCAAATCAGTAAGGGTCCGAAACACTCTTCATGTTCTCTTCAGAACACACTTTCTCACTTTTTTTGCAATATGGACAGGCTGAGAATTTCCCAGATCTTAAATTATGGTTACTTTTTCCTTAACAATTCCATCTTCAAACCTTTTTCTTTTTCTACATTTGACTCTACGGATTCAGAAGGAACCAAGCTGCTGCTTCTACATGTTGCTGAGAAATCTGCTGGGTTAAATGTCCAATTTCACTGCACACAAGTTCCACCTTCCGCAAAACACAAGAGCATGAATACAATTCAAAGAAGTTTGTTTCCACTTTTCAACATGGATTGCTTTTGCTCCATTTTCCAATAACATTTTCATTTCCATTTGAGACTCCAACAGAATGACCTTTACTGTCCATATTTTATCAATATTCTGTTCATGATTATTTAATTATTTTCTGAGAAGACAGCGTTTTCTTCTATATTTCTTTCCGAGCCCTCACGAGAATTGGCTTTTAAATTTCTTCCACAGTAATCTAGCATTTTGCATAAAACCTCATCAATCTCTGCCAATCACTGAGCCCAAAACCATTTTCACTTTGTTTTAGGTATTTATAATAACAGCACTCCCACTTCTCATGATCAATTTCCATCTTCAGCCGTTCAGGCTGCTTTAATAAAGTTCCATAACCTGAGTGGCTTTTAAATAACGGAATGCACATCTCACAGTTCTGGAGGCTGGAAGTCCAACAGCAGAGTGCCAGCATAATTGGGTTCTGGTGAGAGAGCTCTCTTGGGTTTCAGACTGCTGCCTTCTCAATGCAGCTTCACATGGTGGACAGAAAGAGCTCTCAAGAGTCATTTTTAAGGGCACCAATCTAATTTATGAAGCCTCCACCATAATAAGCTAATTACTTCCCAAAGTTCATTATAAATATGCAGCTTATAGGTCCTGCTACCATCATACTGAAGGTTAAGTTTTCATCACATGAATTTTGAGGGGACACAACATTCAGTTGCAACAAAAAATACTCAGTGGTTTTTAATTACAATATTGATTATGTAAATACAGAATAAATTTTAGCTCTAAACATTATCCATGATGTGATTAATTAAATTACTAGTTTAAAAAATTGAATCTGTAATTTATCTTGCCTCTATAATTATTATAAGAACTTGTAAACTTTTAACTTGTTTTCTTTAATTTGACCATTTCTGAAATTGTATCTCTAAGTATTGATATATACACTTCCTAGTGCATATAAAAGTTATGCATATTTAGAGTAATAAGTAGTGTGTTATCATGTTTTTATATCAGGGCAGGAAGGGAGAAGTTGAAGAACAAAGTGTCCTTTTCAACAACTTCAGCCCACGTATCTTTCTACAGGACTATAACATGTCACCAGCCACAAGGGCAAGGAGACTGGGCATTGTAGTTATTTGGCAGGACACATTGCTCTTTCAAACAAAAATGGCATTCAGAAACAAGAAAGTAGGGAAGAGAGGTTTTGGTTGGACAACTTGCATTGTTGTCCCTTCTTTTCTTAGACTTCCAAATTCTTGGTTTCAGAATTCTTTATAAGGTTACCCCTCTGAGTAATTTTATCGGTCCATTAAATCTCCCAAGTCCAGGTCCCCAAGCTCTTCTCAACTAGTATGACAGCAACTTGTATAGAGATGTCAATGCAGTACAAATGCTTGTTTTAAAGTTGTTTTAATCCAGCTTCTATCATTCTAAATATTGTTTTAATCCAATATTCTAATTCAGAATATTGAGAATAAACTAATCTTACATGAAATATCTTTTTTCTCCTATTATTTGATATGTGTGTCTATAAAATAACATTTTCTAATTACAGAATGTGCAAGCAAAAAACAAAAAGGGCCTGTGTCCCTAGTCCCATTTTCTTGCTTGGAGGTAACATCCACAACATTTTTAGTTTTCTGTTGTTCTTCTCTAATGCTCCCAATAATATACCTTTGTTGTGGTTATTGTTGTTATTATTGCTCTTGCATCAAGCACTATCTCTTAGTGCTCATGCACGTCCTTACCGAGGTCCATTTCTTTACTCTCTGCCCCATTCCAAGTTGTGTTAGGTAGAGGATTATACTGATCAAGTCCTGTTTTTAGCTATCTTCATAACATTAACACTTTAAACCTCAATGTCTTCACTGTTCTACTGTCCTATGAGCTCTAGCAATCTCAAGTTTCATGTCACTTCTCAGACTATGGCAATGGTAATCTGCATTAATGGCAAAATCATTAATATTGATGAAAATTTTTATTTTCTGCCCTTCCCAAAATCATCTACTTCTTTGGAATTTACATTAGCAGGCAACAATGGCAGTGGCAATACTACCTTTTGGAAGGTAACTGTAGCTCCACCCTTATCTGTAAAAAGATATGTATTAAGACCCCCAGTTGATGCCTGAAACAGTGGATAGTAAACATGTACTATTTTTCCTACACATACATACTTATAATAGACTGTAATTTAAAAATTAGGCATAGTGAAATTTAACTAATAATTATAGTAGTTTATTAGTTAAACTACTACTAATTATTATAGTAGTAGTATTTGTTTAAACTAATATACTCATTATGGGAGTAGTATTAAACTAATAGGCTAATTATATTAGTTTAATAATTCTATTAGTTTATTAGTTAAACTAACACTACTAATGATAATAGAATTATATTAGTTATACTAATATATTATGTATAGGAGTAGTATACTTCTATAATTATATAGGAATATAATTATATTCCTTTTACTAATAATTATATGAACATAACTAATAATAGAATTATTATAACAATATACTGTAGTAAAAGTTATGTGAATGTGGTCTCTCTTTCTCTTGAAATACCTTATTATTATCTACTTTTCTTTTTGTGATAAAGAAAACAGGGAGTAGGATGGACAACCTGAGAATTTATCACGTTATGGTACACAATTTCAAAGTTATTATTTCTATAACTTTTATTTAATATTTTTCAAAACATGATTGACCCCTGATAGCTAAAACTGGGGAAAGTGAAACCGCTGGTAAGGGGGGACTGCTGTGTTGCTAAAAGTGTCTTCCTTTGCTAAATGTACCAAGAGTAGATTCTCAAGAGGAGTAACATAGATAGGAATTTACGTTGTAGATGGCCTCAGCTATTGCTAAATATCTACAAATTCACTTGGGAATAATATAAGCAGCCACATCAGCAACAATATCTTGAGTAATATTGTTAATGGAGCATCAGGAATTAGGGCTTTGCAATTATGAGATACATTTTTCCAAAGACATGATGCAAACATCCTTAGCAGTAGAAGAAAAAAGTTGAATTCCAACTCTTTGTCAAGAGGCATTTTTGGGAATTGTTATTATATCCAATTTTCGCCCAGGATTATGTGGCATGATAAATATGCCTTACAATAACTTAGTTAAGAATATTATAGGTAATACATATTTCATCACCTTAAGAAATGTGAATGGCTGTTTGGAGGTATATTAACATCATGTAGATGGAGGCTCAAGACTGCTGAGATAAAATTGAATACATTTAGAAAGACTGATGGCATATTTTCCTGAAGAGAATCTTTAGAAAACCAAAGAGTTAATGTCAGGTTTTCATATGTCTTAGTAGTCTGAATAAAACCTGTTAAATAATTTTTCCTGGAAGAAACATATTACTATTTAATTTTCAAAAAGTGATATTAATAGTTAATTATCCAGTTATCTGGACTTTTTCCAAAAGAGTTTATCTATAAAGAGCATCTACTCTATGAAATGTAGAAATAAACTCAAAGGATAGTAAATCAGTATTCAGTCTGTAAATATTACCTCACTGTGTCCATGACATTTGTGAACTTAGTAACCAAATTTAAGGATTTAATGTGTTTGCTTGTTGTTAACATATATGGAGAGAGAAAAATAAATGGATGAATTTTCAGAATTTATCTAATTTTCTCCTCCATCAAAGTTAAAAATTAGCTGTTTGATTTCCTATACTGAGCTAAAATTCTCTGGCATTTTATCTTGATATTACTGACATCCTGGAAGGAGTATCTTGTTTGTTTGGCAAGTGGATTTTTTTAAAAAAATAAATTATTGCTTCATAATTTTTATTGTTTATATTTCAAGGTTATGAAAAATGCCCTTAAAAAATAGATGGTATATATATATATATATATATATATATAAAATATATATTTTAATCTGCATGTAGTATACCTGTTGTGACAAAAATAAACGAAAGCTTAATTTCTTGCCAAGTTGTAGACTATTACAGTATATTATTTTAAGCGTTATGCTATACATACTTCTTTTGAAAATTTATGGAGTACATGAGATGTTTTGATACATGCATAATAATCACATCAGGGTAAATTGAATATCCATCACTTCACACAGTTATCCTTTGTGTTACAAACAATCTGATTATACTCTTCTAGTTATTTTTAAATGTACGATTAAATTATTTTTGACTATAGTCACCCTGTTGTGCTAGCAAATGCTAGGTCTTATTCATTCTTTCTAACTATGTTTTTGTACCTATTAGTCTGCCCCGCTTTCCTCCCAAACCCTCACTACCCTTCTCAGCCTGTTAACCTTTATACTGTTTATCTCCATGAGTTCAATTGTTTTAAGCCTTAGCTCCCACAAATAAGTGAGAGCATCCGAAGTTTGTCTTTCTGCGCCTGGCTTGTTTCACTTAACATAATGACCTCCAGTTCTATCCACATTGTAGCAGATGACAGGAACTCATTGTTTTTTATGGCTGAATGGTATTCCATTTTGTATATGTACTATATTTTCTTTATTCATTCATCTCTTGATGGATACTTAGGTTGATTCCAAATTTTGGCTATTGTGAGTAGTGCTGAAATAAACATGGAGTGCAGATATCTCTCTGATATACTATGTCCTTTCTTTTGGTTATACACCCAGGAGTGGGATTGCTGGATCATATGATAGCTCAATTTTTGCTTTTTGAGAAACCTCCAGACTGTTCTCCTTAAGGGTCATACTAATGTACATTCCCACTGACAGTGTGCAAGGGTTCCTTTTTCTGTATATCCTCGCCAACTTTTGTTATTGCCTGAATTTGGGATAAAAGCCATTTTAACTGGGGCCTCTTAACTTTTTCCCCACACATTTCTTAATTCCTTGATGAAAAATGCTAAAAGATAAGTCACTTTCATACTTCCTAGATACAGTTATTCATTCACTCTTTTATTTTTTTAAGTTTCTTATTTAATAGATATGTATTAAATATTTACCTTGTCTCAGCCAATGTAATGTGTGACAGGCATACAAAGATGAATATAGCAGAAAGTTTATGCCTCTTAAGAAGCATAATGAAGTCATTTAAACAAATAATAGCTACAAATTTTGATGAGCACTGTCATAGAGGTAAGAATATTATGGTGGGGTGGGATGGAAGAAATTAAAATATGTCAATCTACTTTGCGTTGTAAGGAAAATCTTGGCAAAGAAGATACATGTTATGATTTGGCTCTGTGTCCCCACCCAAATCTCAACTCGAATTGTAATCCCCATGTGTCATGGGGAGGGACCTGGTGGGAGGTGATTAGCTCAAAAGGGTGGTTTTCTATGCTGTTCTTGTGATAGTGAGGGGGTTCTCAGGAGATCTGATGGTTTTATAAGTGGCAGTTTCCCCTGCATGCTCTCTCTCTTACCTGCCACAGTGTAAGACTTGCCTTGCTTTCCCTTCACCTTCCACCATGATTATAAGTTTAATTATAAGTTCACTTATAAGTTCAGCCATGTGGAATTGTGAGTCAAGTAAGCCTCTTTTGTTTATAAATTATCCATTCTCAGGTAGTATCTTTATAGCAGTGTGAAATGGACTAATAAGATAAACTTCAATAGAATACTTAAGAAATTGTGGTAATCAACTAGTTTATGAATGGAAAGAATCATTTTATCAAAGGAAATTAAGAGCATAACAATGTGGCATTAAAACAGATTAGGGAGTTCTGAGGGTTGTAAGGATGATGGAACAGGTACATAATAGGACAATATGGGAGAATAATTAAAGAAGTCCTGAGGGTAGGTCACTGAGGCCTTATATGTTATAAAAGGGGGATTTTACTCTAGGAATTGGGAAAGTGTTTGAAGAAAGAGAATAGTGTGATTATATTTGCTTTTTAGTTTGAAAAGAAGTAGCCTGGAAATGAATGAGATTACAGCCAGAGAAGAGAAAGAATATATTTTGATGAAAGAATATATTTGGGTACTGATAGAATAGTCCGGGTTAAAGATGATTTGGACCCTGGCACATGGAGGATGCTGTGGGGTCATAAAGGAAGAAATGGTAATAAAAATAACTAAAGTTTTATTGGATGAAGTTTTCAAGCCAACAAAGCATAAAACACAGACACAAAAACGACGTCTAAAATGATTTCTTAGTTTCTTAGTCATGTATTAGGTGTCAACCAAGACAGGGAATACAGACAGAGCAGTAAAGAGTTCAGCCCCAGACTCAATCCTATATGTGATTTTTGGGCCCATCCATAAACAATGACAAAGACTTGACCAAGTGGGTCCCACAGGGAGAGCTGCCCTCCCCACACTAGTGCATAGTCCTCTAATGGCAGTTTCAGTAAGGGCTGCAGGGCCATGCTCACACACAGATCAGCATCACTTGACTGGTGCCTCCCCTGGAGGCCTCTCCACTGTGGGACCTTGGCAGACCTTCCCCAGGCATGTTTGCCCAAGACCTCCTTTTCATGGGGAGAGGAGGAGGAGTCTTGAAGACAATTGTCTTCCTTCTGATTCAATACTCAGTGCTTTTCCGCTCCCAGCCTTTTCCTGACCTTCCATAAAACTGCAGGCAGGAGCCTGTTGTTCAGGGTTCCTTTGATAGTGAGACAACTCCACATCTGTGCTGACCCATGTGATCCTTGATAGAGCTGTTTCATGAAGGAAAAAAAGGATGGGGACTGGACCGTCAGGGCTTTTTCCAGTTTAACCTCAAAGGTTTGTTAATGTCCTTTTGTCTTGATGTCTTAATTGCCTACTCCAACACCTGGCTCTCTCTCCAGAGTAGTTAAGCTCCTGATGGCTGGGGATAAATTTAATGACTACTGTTTTGTATAAGTTGAGGTTAATCTAATTAATTTACCTAGAGGGAAAATTCTGACCTCTATCTCTGAGACCTCATCTAAAACACAGAGGTCATGAAGATAAATCTGGCTTCTGCCTTCAAGGAGCTTACAGTCTGGTGAAGATGATAGCTGGATAGCTAGACATAACAATAAAACCACAGCTGTTCCCTTGTGATAATTTCTGTTATGAGTTATGTACAGTGGAATATGAAAAATATATAAATGGTACATAACCAATTCTAGGAGGTCAGGGCAAGCTTCCTGGGAGAAATGCTGTCTATAGGTAGACACAGAGAGACAAGAATCAAAGCCTCTTCTGAAGAAGGGTTAAATAAATCTCAGGCAGATAGGCTATGCATGACCTGCTTCTTTTATCTGTCATTTTTGTTGTTCAGTTACTTGCTAAATTTTAAGAATTTTATATATATATATTATATTTATAATATATTATATATATAATATACATGTATATATATATATATATATATATATCTTCTACATATCAGTGCTCTGTCAATTCAGCCTAATTCTGGCAAAAGCATTAAGGACTTCAATATTTACCAGGTTTGAAAGGGGAGCAGTCCTTTGAATTAGAATTATTTGAAAAATGTAGGGCTATTTTGAAACAACTACCCAATTGAAAATGCATGGACACTATAACTATTATACTTGCAGATGCATACAAAAATACTTTTATTGTCACATGGGCACAAAGATGTATATTGAAAGCTGTTCACTGAAACAGTATTTATAATAATGAAACCTGGAAGCAACATATCTCTTAATGGGGATATAGACAAGTAAAGTACAACATATACATGTTATAGAAAAAAATGCAGCCTTCTCAAAAATGGGTAAGCTGTATAGATATAGAAAAGAAAAAAGCATTGTATAAATAATATGTACACTTTAATAAAAGTTGTACTAAATTTTAAATGTAATATAAATATCATACCTTCTATATATATAAAATTATCAAAAAGACTGAATTATAATACATGAAGAGTAGGAAAAAATAGTTGCACTGAGTTTTATATTTTCTGAATGTTTAAATCTTTCCACACAATATGTAATAATTATACTTTTAAAATGCCAGTAAGGTAATATATACAAATAGCTAATTAAAGCTTAATAAGAACTTTGGAAAAATATTTTTAATAAAGGTTTTACATACATCAGGGTTACAATTAAATTTAACATGCTTTTTATTTTGTCAATTTCTTTTATTTAAAAAATACTTAAACTAACTTCCTTTTTGGTTTTTCCTATTAAAAGAAAAAGCATTTTGCCCTCATAAAAGAAAATTAGTTTCAGATTACTAGTAATTATTTAGGTACTAATTAAAAAATAATGAATCTCAGTTACTAAATACACAAATAAGGGAGTTATATGAAACTGTGCAATAGTCATTCTATGGATAGTCATATTTAAAATAAAATGAAAAGAGACTAAAATATGCATTTGTGCTTTTAACTCTGAAAACCTGAATACCTATTCAACTGTTGATTCTGAGTATTTACAGAACTTTATTTCTTCTTTGGACATGCTTTCGCAGTTTTTACCTAATGTATACACATTTTTGCCTTGTTCTTAATAATTAAATATCTGAGAAAAAGATATTCAAAAAGTGGTTTTTTGTGCGTACTCATGATAAACAGTAACATAAAAAGTTACAGAGGTCGGGCCCAGTGGCTCACGCCTGTAATCCCAGCACTTTGGGAGGCCAAGGTGGGTGGATCACTTGAAGTCAGGAGTTTTAGACCAGCCTGGCCAACATGGTGAAACTCCATCTCTACTTAAAAAATAAATAAATAAATAAACAGGCATAGTGGCTCACGTCTGTAATCCCAGCTACTGGGGAGGCTGAGGTGGGAAAATCACTTGAGCCCAGGAGGCGGAAGCTGCACTGAGCCAAGATCACGCCATTGCCCTCCAGCCTGGGTGACAAAGCGAGACTCCATCTCAAAAAAAAAGAAAAGTTATAGAAATAAATATGATGATATGATTTACTGAAAGCAAGTCTCAAATGCCTAAAAAAGGCCAAACTTCCTTTGGTCTTTGGATATCATTCTGGAGGGTGGGTGAGTCTACTTTTGTTTCAAATGTGTTATTTTCATTTATTTTTGAGCAAAAATATCATTTTATAATTTACACTTATTGAACATAAATGTGGAAATACTACTAAATTGTCTCCACATGGAAAATTTCTTGTGACATGTATTTCATCTAACTTGTGAAGTTCACAACTATTTCAAAAAACAGTTAAGCTTGTTCCAAAAACTCACTGCCATCCCACCAAACACACATATGGACTTGAGAATAATTAGGCTTTCAGAAACCACTTTAGTATCCAATTAATTGTAGTTTTCTTCAGAAAGTGGTGTAAATCTGATTATATATAGTTGCTTCATGTAGTATAAATCTGATTATACACAGTTGTTTCATATAGTATATATCTGATGATATACAATTGCTTCATGTAGTTCAACTTGTTACTAGATAATCCATGTGTAATTGTCACAGAAAATCTTACGTGTACATTTGGACAATGTCTCTATCTCTGTTTCTTTCTCTCTGTTTCTCTCTCTCTCTCTCACACACACACACACAGTCCTTTACAATTACTTTGGGAAAAAAATCACAAAAAGGAAAAAATCATTAATCTGAGATTATAACATAAAATCCACAATTTGTCTGTAAACTATCTTTAAATCTATGTTTATACTTGAAATCTACTAGGCTTATGAGAGTCAAAGACTTCCAAGCTTTGAATATTCTTTTCACTTCAAAAGGAACTGAAAATCTAAATGTAATTTGGTACACCTTTTAAAATATTCACTGCTGCCTGCCAGCTAGCTGCAGGTTATTTTAGCTACTAGAAGCAGCACTAATTTGCAATATCTTTCTAAGACTATCTATAGGTAAAAATTTGACATTGGCTGACTCTAACCAATGTCAAGCTTTAGGATAGCAACGTAATCCCTAAAAGAAAAATGAGAAATAACCTAACTATCTAAACATCAAAAACAAATTAACCTTGCTTGCCCATTTTTAGGACAACATAACGGTTTCTTGAGATTTTTCAACATTTATGAAAAGATAAAAATTAAGATGAGTCATTTAATAGCATGCGTGCTTGAACCAATAAAATGATTTCTTATTTTATGAGTTGTTTTTAAAAAATGAGCCCAGATGTTTCAAATTATAAATAATTTGTCAATTTATGCATAAAGCCAAATTTGAAAAATGTGACTGGTCATTCCCATTAAGAAACTCAACTGAAAATCTGTTTCACTGAATCAAGCTTAAATAAGTAATTGTGTACTTAGATGTAGCTGAATTCTAAGAACTATTTGGACCACAACTTATAGACTATTTATATATTTTGCAAACTGTTTGCTGTTCTCTGACTTCAAGTAAGAGAGAGATATTAAGTGACAAATCATACAACGGAAAGGGAGAGCTATTAAGTGATAAATCATACAGTGGAAAGAGAGTTATATAGGAAGACTCTCCATTTTAACTCAGAATAAAATATGTAACCATCTTTAAGTTTTAATGGGGAGACCTGTGTGGCTGACTTTTTTTTTTCCCAATCTAGCTTCCTCATTTGGAAGAATGTTTTGTTTCTGTATATGAAAACTGAAGGATTTCTATTCAAGGCCACTGTGGTAGACAGAATAATGGCTTACTAAAATGTCGACGTCCTAATTTCTGGAACCTGTGAAAATGTCACCTTCCATGACAAAAAGGACATTGTAGAAGCAATTATTTAAGGATCTAGAGATGAGAATATTAAGATGGGTTATTTGGGTGTTCCAAATGTGAACCCAAGTGGAGTTCTTGTAAGACTGAGAAGATGCCTTCGAGTTAGGAAGGAGATGGGAGATGTGTTATGAAAGCAGAGGTTGGAGTGACAGAATTTCAAGATGGAGAAAGGGGTTATAGCCAAGAATCCAAGCAGCCTCAAGAGAGTAGAAGCTCTTGATTTTCACCTATGTGACTCTATTTTAGTCTTTACTTGCAGAACTGTAAGATAGTAGATTTGTGGTGTTTTAATCCACTAAGTTGGTAGTAATGTGCTCCAGCCACTATGAGACAAATACAGTATACACACACACACACACACACACACACACACACACACATATATGTGTGTGGGTGTGTATTAGGAAAAGTAGTAAATCTAAATCTAGACTTTCTCATTCTCACCTAGGTTCTTATATTTTTAATTATATAACTAGTTACATAACATTATTTATATAATACTAGTTATATAACTAGTGCTCTATTATTTTCCTTCTATTTTAATTTTTCTGTTAAAAGAAAGTTTAAGAACATATGTATCCATATATGTATATACACATGCAGAAATATATATCTGTGTATGTGTGTGTGTTTATGAGTATATATATTCAAAGTTCTGAAACGTTTTTCAAAGCAATGCTGGCAATGGAATTCTCATTTCTATTTATCTTTTCTGTGGAGGTTTAAGTATGACTTATTTGGGAATTGCTACATTATCCTGACAAAAATATAACAGTAGTGGCAATATATAATCCCCCAAAAATGTTATATCTCCAGATAATTTTAATGAGTTGGCATTGACTAGTATGAGAAATACAAGGCACAGAGAGTGATATGGTTTGGCTCTGTGCTGTCACCCAAATCTCATCTTGAATCGTAATTCCCATAATGCCCATGTGTTGAGGGGCCTGTTGGGAGGTGATTGGATCATGGGCACAGTTTCCCCTAGATGTTCTCATGATAGTGAATGAGTTCTCATGAGATCTGATGGTTTTACAAGTGTTTGACAGTGCCTCCTTCACATGCTCTCTCTCCCCTGCTGCCATGTAAGACGTGCCTGCTTCCCCTTCCACCATGATTGTAAGTTCCCTGAGGCCTCCCCAGCCGTGCAGAACTGTGAGTCAATTAAGCCTCTTTCCTTTGTAAATTACCCTGTCTCGGGTATTCTTTATAGCAATGTGAAAATGGATTAATACAGAGAGTCTACACATTTCTTTATATAAGATATACTTGTTTTCTGTTTATAGTTAGCATTTACAAAGTTTACAGTAAAATTTTTACTTACATTCATATAACATTTAAGTTATTCTCAAAATTTTATGCAACCATTTTAGATCTAAAGTGGACTTTGTTTTTTTCCATAGAATAAGTATTTTGTAGGACTTCTCTTCAATATTGGTGTGTAGAAAAAAAAATGTGAACTTCAAGTTTCAATCAATTAAACTTTTGCTTAAACTGAAAAACCATGCCAACACACAAAAAGGTCATCTGGGGTGTGCCATTACATTAGGATTACGTACTGGTACTACACACTCAGTTGTGTAGGACATAAGAATGGATTATACTTAAACCTCTAAAGGATGGCCTGAATTAAAGTGATAGAAAATGGGAGTTAATATTGCTAGTGTTACCATGTAAAATTTAATAATTATTTGCTTAATTATTGTCTTATTAATTTAATAGTTTCTAAAGAGAAATTTCATTAACAAATTAACAGGAACAGCTACAAAATTTGCAGTGTTCAGTGCAAAATTAAAATATAGGACATCTTCCTCAAAAATTATTTAAAACTTGACACGAATGACACCAAAGAATTAGCCAAGTGATGGGCCCCTGCAAATGAGCAGATCACATAAATCTATCCCTGAACATCAATTAGTTATAAAAAAATAAGAATTTAAGGCTGGGACCCATAGCCATAATTTTACCCATACCTGCATTTATATCTGTATTTATATACCTATAACAGTATTTAGATCTATTTATTCACAATCTCAGAATCAGATTGTAGAGACATTTAAAGATTAACTAATACAAACTTGTCCTCTTACAAAAGAGAAAACTGAGCCGCAGTGCTTTGATTGTATCAGTAGCTAATATTAGAAATAAAAGCAACACATTATCTTAAATATTTTATGTTTTTCTTATTACTACCAGTTTAGTGCTCCTATGTATTTTGTAGTACTTCTCTTCAATATTGGTGTGTAGAAAGAAAATGTGAACCCCGAGTTTAATCAATTAAACTTTGATTAAACTGAAAAACCATGGTCAATCCCAATACACAAAAGGGTCATCTGGGGTGTGCCATTGCATTAGGATTACATACTGGTACTATATGTTGCTGCTACATGCTCTTTCACTCAGTCGTGTAGGACAGAAGAATGGATTATACTTAAACTTCTAAAGAATGACCTCAATTAAAGAGATAGAAAATGGGAGTTAATATTGTTAGTGTTGCCATGTAAAATTTAATAATTAATATAATGTCTCATATATTCCGTGGTGATTAATTGGTGTGGAATATTTAAGCCACGAGAATAAGTACTATAAAAGCAAGAATTTATAATAGGGTCTTTAATGATCAGTTCTGTTCTTACACAGCTTCTCCCCACTCCTACTCCTTGGAAGCAACCAAGTGGTATGAGTTGGCCCCTACTCACCCCCTCCCTGGTGTCAGTGGACCACATCAGGGAAGTGAGGTTATTTTTTCACTTGGAGGAAACAAAGATATGTAACTCAGTACCCTACTTTTGCCATGAGGTTGCCAGTGGGTGGAGGGAGAAGACAAACTTCCACCTAACCAGTCTGCAAGAAGGAAGTATAAGTTAGTACTCTACTTTTGGTAGGATGGTATTAGTAGGTCCCATCAGGAAGATAAACACGCACACCCACCCAGCTCTCAGGTTACACATCAATAGGGAACCATCTACGAAATAATAAGAGAGAAAAATTCTCATAATATAAAAAAAAATTCAGGACACAATAAAAATCACTTATAAGACAAAAGAACTAGGAAATCATAACCTGAATGAGAGAAAGACAACAGACACCAACACAGACATAAAAAAGGGGTTGGGGCTGGGCGCAGTGGCTCACACCTGTAATCCCAGCACTGTGGGAGGCCAAGATGGGTGGATCACTTGAGGTCAGGAGTTCAAGACCAGCCTGTCCAACATGGTGAAACCCCGCCTCTACTAAAAATATAAAAAGTTAGCTGGGTGCATTGGCACATGCCTGTAATCCCAGCTACTTGGGAGGCTGAGGCAGGAGAATCACTTGAACCTGGGAGATGGAGGTTGCAGTGAGCCAAGATCATACCGCTGCACTCCAGCCTGGGTAACAGAGTGAGACTGTTTCAGACAAAAAAAAAAAAAAAAAAAAAAAAAAAAGAGGTTGGAATTATCTAACAAGGATTTTGAAGAAACCATCATAAAAGTGTTTAAATAAGCAATTATATATTGTATTCTCTTGGAACAAATAAAAGTTAAAATTAAAAATAAATTCAATAATGACTTATAAGTTATAAAAAGTAAACATGAACTAAATAAAATTAAAATACAATAATGGAAATAATAGATGCAGAGGATGGTCACAAAAGAAGAGAGCACAGAGCAGAAGATGGAATCAGTGAATCTGAAAACATGCCAACAGAATTTACTGTCTGAACAAGAAGAAGAAAACCGATAAAAAAAAAATTTAACAGCATTTCAGGAAACTTTAGAACAATAATAAAAGAGCTAACATTCATAATCACAGGAGATATAGAAGACGAGGAGATAGAATGTGGGACTAAAAAACTATTAAAAAATAATGACTTCAACCTTCCCAAATTAGATGGAAGACATAAACCTAAATATTCAAGAAACAGAGCAAACCCTAAATAGAATACACCCAAATACATTCAATTTCTGGAAATGAAAAAAAAAAATTAAAAATCTTGAAAGCAAACAGAGAAAAATGGCACATTTCTTACAGAAAAACAATAATGTAAACCACAGCAGATTTTCCATCTGAAACCATGAAGGTTGGAAGGAAACAGATAATATTTTTGAAGTACTGAAAGAACAGAACTGTGAACTGTAAATTCAATACCCAGCAATAATATTCTTCAGGCACTAAAGTGACATAGAAAACATTGTCTAATGAAAGAATGCTAAGGTAATGTGTTGCTAACAAACTTACCTTTAAAGAATAAGTTCTCTAAACAGAAAAGAAATGATAAAAGAAGAAGGTTTGCAGCTTTTACAAACATCCATCTAAATGGGTAAAATTAAGCATAAATATAATGTATAATCAAACTTCTCTTAAGTTTTTAAGCCATTTCTAATAGTTGAAGCAAAAATTAATGACCTATCTGGTTAGATGCTCAAGGAACATAGAGGAAGTATTTAAGATAATTATATCTAAAAAGTAGTGATAGTAAAGAGACTCATATGGAAACAAGTTTTCTACACTTCACTCAAAGAGGTAAAACATCATTAACAGTAGATCTTGACATTACACATATATTATTTTAACCAGTGCAATTAATAAAACCAAACAAAATCATGTGCAATCATGCACTGCATAACGATGTTTTGCTCAGCAGTAGACTGCATATATCATGGTGGTCCCATAAGATTATAATGGAGATGAATATTACCTAGTGACATTGCAGCTGAGCTGTCTTAACATCATAGTCTAACATATTTCTCACCTGTTTGTGGCAATGATGGTGTAAACAAACCTACTTCATTGCCAGTTATATAAAAGTGTAGCACATAAAATTCTGTCTAGTACTGATATTGTTTGGCTGTGTCCCCACCCAAATCTCATCTTGAATTGTAATCCTCATGATCCTCCCGTGTCAAGGGCAAGACCCGGTGGGAAGTGATTGGATCCTGGAGGCAGTTTCCCTCATGCTGTTCTCATGATAGTGAGTAAGTTTTCATGAGATCCGATGGTTTTAAAAGTGTTTGAAAATTTCTCCTAGACACACTCATTCTCTCCTGTTGCCTTTTGAAGAAGCCAACTGCTTTTATTCCACCATGATTGTAAGTTTTCTGAGGCCTCTCCAGCCATGCAGAACTATGAGTCAATTAACCCTCTTTCCTTTATAAATTACCCTGTCTTGGGTAGTATCTTTATAGCAGTGTGAGAACAGACTAATAGAGTAAATTGGTACTGGGAGTGGGGCACTGCTATAAAGATACTGAAAATGAGGAAGTGACTTTAGAACTGGGTATCGGGCAGAGGTTGGAAGTGTTTGGAGGGCTCAGAAGAAGACAGGAAGTTGTGAGAAAGTTTGAAACTTCCTAGGGACCTGTGGAATGGTTTTGACCAAAATGCTGATAGTGATATAGACAGTGAAGTCCAAGCTGAGGTGGTCTTGGATGGACAAGAACTCATTAGGAACTAGAGCCCAAAGATCACTGTTACTCTGCCTTAGCAAAGAGACTGGAAGCATTTTGCCCCTGTCCTAGAGATCTGTGGAACTTTTAATTTGAGAAACATTATCTCAAATTGGAACTTATGTTTAAAATGGAAGCAGGGCATAAAAGTTTGGAAAATTTGCAGCCTGACCATGCAGTAGAAAAGAAAAACCCATTTTTCAGGGGAGGAATTCAAGCTGGCTACAGAAATTTGCCTAAATAACAAGAAGCCAAATGTTATTACAGTAGCCAAAACAATGGTAAAATTTTTCTTGGGCGTATCAGAGACTTCCATGGCAGCCCTTCTCATCACAGACCCAGCAGCCTCTGAGGGAAAAATGGTTTCATGGGCTGGGCCTAGGGCCCCGTTGCTCTGGGCAACCTCAGGACTCGGTGCCCTGTGTCCCAGCTGCTGCTACTCCAGCTCCAGCCGTGGCTAAAAGGAGCCAATGTACAGCTCATCTGTTGATTCAGAGGGTGCAAGCCCCAAGCCTTGGAGGATTCCATATGGTGTTGGGCCTGAGGGTACACAGAAGTCAAGAATTCAGGTGTGGAAACCTCTGCCTAGATTTCATAGGTTGTATGGAAATGCCTGGATGTCCAGGCCGAGATTGGTTGCAGGGGTGGAGCCATCATGGAGAACCTCTGCTAGGGTAGTGCAGAAGGGAAATGTGGGGTTGAAGCTCCCACACAGAGTCCCCACTGGGGCACTGCCTAGTGAAGCTATGAGAAGAGGGCCACTGTTCTCCAGACCCCTGAATGGAAGATCCACCAACAGCTTGTACTGTGCACCTGGAAAAGCCACAGACACTCAATGCCAGCCTGTGAAGGAACTGCCCAAGGCCATGGGAGCCCACCCCTTGCATTAACATGCCCTGGATGTGAAACATGGAGACAAGGAGATTATTTTAAAGCTTTAAGTTTTAATGACTGCCCTGCTGGGTTTCAGACTTTCATGGGGCCTGCATCCCCTTTGTTTTGACTAATTTCTCCCATTTGGAATGGGAGCATTTATCCAATTCTTGTACCCTCATGGTATCTAGGAAGTAACTAACTTGCTTTTGATTTTACAGGCTTATAGGCCAAAACGTCTTGCCTTGTCTCAGATGAGACTTTGAACTGTGGGCTGTTGAGTTACTGCTGAAATGATTTAAGACTCTGGGGGACTGTTAGGAAGGCATGATGTTGGGTTGGAAATGTAAAAAATATGTGAGATCTGGGAGGGGCCAGGGGTGGAATGATATGGTTTGGCTCTATATCCCCACCCAAATCTCATCTTGAATTGTAATCTTCATAATACCCATGTGTTGAGGGCAGGATCTGGTGGAAGGTGATTGGATCATGTGGGCGGTTTCCGCCATACTGTTCTTACGATAGTGAGTGAGTTCTCAGGAGATCTGATGGTTTTGTTAAGTGTTTCACAGCTCCTCCTACACACAATCCTTCTCTCTCCTGTTGTCTTGTGAAGAAGATGACTGCTTCCCATTTCACCATGATTGTAAGTTCCATGAGGCCTCCTCAGCCATGCAGAACTGTGACTCAATTAAACCTCTTTCCTTTATGAATTACCCAATCTCGGGTAGTGTCTTTATAGTAGTGTGAGAATGGACTAATACAAGTACATTTTACTTAGTAATAATAATAAACAAATATATTACATTTTTGTGTATTTACTACACCATATTTTTTATTGTTATTGTAGTGTACACCTTCTACTTATTAAAAGAAATAGGCCCGAGGCGGGCAGATCACGAGGTCAGGAGATGGAGACCATCCTGGCTAACATGGTGAAACCCCATCTCTACTAAAAATACAAAAAATTAGCCAGGCCTGGTGGGGGGCGCCTATATTCCCAGCTATTCGGGAGGCTGAGGCAGGAGAATGGCGTGAACCCAGGAGGCGGAGCTTGCAGTGAGCCGAGATCACGCCACTGCACTCCAGCCTGGGCGACAGAGCGAGACTCTGTCTCAAAAACAAACAAAAAAAAAAGTAATAGGCAACTGTAAAACAGCCTCACAGTGGTCCTTCACGAGGCATTTCAGAGGGCATTGTTATCATAGATGTCGACAGATCCATATGCATTATTGGCCTAGAGGAGCTTCCAGTGGGACAAGATCTGGAGGTAGAAAACAGTGATGTTGATCATACTGACCCTGTGTAGGCCTACGCTAGTATGTGCATTTGTGTCTTTGTTTTTAACAACAACAACAAAAAAATTAAAAATTAAAAGATGTAAAATTACAAAAAAATCTTAGAGAATAAGGATATAAGGAAATAAAGTATTTCTGTGTACAATATGCGTTTTAAGCTAAGTGTTGTTACAAAAGAGTCAAAAAGTTAAAAATAAGTTAAAAAGTTTATAAAGTAAAAAAGTTACTGTAGGATAAGTTTAATGTATTTTGAAAGAAATAAGTTTCTTTATAAATTTTATAAATTCAGTGTTTATAAAGTCTACAGTTTTGTACAATGATGCCCTAGGCATTTACGCTCACTCACCACTTACTAACTCTCCCAGAGCAACTCCTAGCCCTGCAAACTTCATTTATAGTAAGTGCCCTAATCAGGTATACCATTTTTGATGTTTTGACTGGATTTTTTACCGTACCTTTTTTTTATGTTTAGATACACAAATATTTACCGTTGTGTTGCAAATGCCTACAGTATTCAGCACAGTAACATGCTGTTTAGGTTTGTAGCCTAGGATCAATAGGCTGTACCACATAACCTAGGGTGAGTAGTAGGTTATGCTATCTCTATTTACACATAGAATACACTATATGATGTTACACAGTGAAGAAATTGCCTAATGCATTTCTCAGAATGTAATTTTTGTCATTAAGTGATGCAACATTGTATTTAAAACACTATAAATAAATTAAGATGGAAACTTAACATGTTTATGTAACCCATTGGAAAGCAAGAAAAAGACACAGAGGAATAAGAAACAGAAACAAATAACAAAGTGGTAGACTTCAACCACAACATACAAATTGTTAAACATAAAAGGCCTATAGAAACCAACTAAAAAACATAGATTGGCAGAGTAGTTAAAAAAACAAAAATCAAAAACGAAAAAACATGGCCAACAATATTGTCCAAATTGCATTTGTACCCCATAAATAAATAATTTTTAAAATTCTGTCTATATAAAACTAACTTAAAATACAGCATAGGTAAGATAAAAGTAAAAAGAGAGAACCAGTAAAATAATTTAAAAATGCAAGTGAGGTTATAGTAATATATCAGCTACATAAATTTTATTTTATTTATTTATTATTATTATTATTATTATTATTATTATTATTATTATTATTATTTTGAGACAGAGTGTCGCTCTGTCACCCAGGCTGGAGTGCAGTGGAGCAATCTCAAACTCACTGCAAGCTCCACCTCCCAGGTTCATGCCATTCTCCTGCCTCAGCCTCCCGAGTAGCTGGTACTACAGGTGCCCACCACCACGCCCAGCTAATTTTTTTGTGTTTTTAGTAGAGACGGGGTTTCACCGTGTTAGCTAGGATGGTCTCGATCTCCTGACCTTGTGATCCTCCAGTCTCAGCCTCCCAAAGTGCTGGGATTACAGGCATGAGCCAGGGTGCCCGGCCCAGCTACATAAATTTTAAAAAGTAAAAAAAGTCAAATTGCGTTTTTAAATATTTTACATTCCATTGCCATTCAAAGAAATAACATTGTTTTCAGTACGATTAAGCAAGTATCATTAGACCTAGAAATAGCCACAATCATTTCTTAAAAAGATTATTAATATTTATTTATTTATTTATTTATTTATTTTTAGGCGGAGTCTCACTCTGTTCACCAAGCTGGAGTGCAGTGGTGCAGTCTCAGCTCACTGCAATTTCTGCCTCACCCTCCCAAGTAATTGGGATTACAGGCATGTGCCACCACATATGGCTAATTTTTGTATTTTTAGTAGAGACTAATTTTTGTACTTTTAGTAGAGACAGGGTTTCACCATATTGGCCAGGCTGGTCACAAACTCCTGACCTCAGGTGATTGGCCCGCATCAGCCTCCCAAAGTGCTGGGATTACAGGCATAAGTCATCGTGCCCAGCTAAGATTACTAATATTTATAAGCTCTACCTTCTTTCTTGGAGAAATGACTTTATAATTTCACTTTCTAATTCAGTTACCTGTTGAAACTAAATTAAAATATATTCATATGCAAAATGCAAGTAAATAAAAACAGCAGCTTTCTCTATGCTAAAAGGAAGTTCCTTTGGAGCTCATTTCCTTGACAATGCAAGAAAGTACTTCACTGCACTATCTTCATTATGCAAATAAAGGTGCATTTTAGCTCTTTGAAGAAGAAGAGGAAGAACATGTCTCTCAAATGGCAGGAAAGAACAAATTTCCTTAAGGAAGAGTGAGGGAAAGTTCATCAACACCAACCCTAGGTACATCTTCATTCAGACTTGAAAAGCTTTTGAATAGCGTCTGTTTATTCCTGTTAGAACTGAACTGGCAGGAAAAGACAATGGAGAAGCCACAAAGAGGAGTAGCTAGGTAGCAGCATTCAGGTCCACAATGCCTGGATTTCATTATTATTATTCTACTGTATCTTCAGGCAGTTTATGTAAATCATGTTATTGAGTTCTCTCATCTGGAAGATGAGAGTACTAATAGTTCCAGCGTTCTTACATTAGTGCTGCTGCCATTAGTTATCATCATTTAAGTGTCTGTTCTTATTGTTCAAAGAGTGACTGGCAGTTGAGAGTCCCTGGGACCTGAAGTAGGGAGGTAGAGAATTTTGCATTGGAGTATACTGTTATCTTAACCTTGGAGGCCTGAGTGTTCTTAGGTAAAAGACTGCTTTGGAGGCTGCAAATGGAACTAGAATCCCACCAGATCACAGCCATCTGACTTGGTTGCATTTTTATGGAAACCAGCGTGTTGAGGATGTGAGACTGATATAAAAGCACTAGGATATTCACAGGGTAAAAGTCAGGAGGATCATAACAGCACAGTACTAGAGAACCAGTACGTAGTGGTGTGATGAATGAAAGCCACTGACATAACTTTCGCATCTTGTCTTCCTGTATTCTTTCTTTCTGTGACAGTTGTTGAGATCATGACCTCTTCTGGAATGGTGTTCTCAGAAGTCCTTGGACAATCAGGGTGTACTAGGAGAAAACATGCTGTGAGATGGGATGAAAGTCTTCAGGATGGACACTATACTTTCTGTTATTGGAGGATTCGGTAGTTTGAATAAGCGTTTGAATGAATAAAATATTTGAGTTGAGGACTAAATTCTGATTTTTTTTTTTTCATCTTGCCCAAATTCCTATTTAAAGAAACTGGGAGTCAGCCCTACGAATGATAACATCTCTTTACATGGGTTTTTTATTAACCCTATATAATGTGGCTTGCTTTCCAACCTGACTCTGGTACAGCATCACATAACAGACAGCAGACCCTGAAGGATATAAAAATATTTTGCCCTAAAATATATTTCTTTGATGTCTTTTGAAATGGCTGTTGCAAGGCCAGCAAACTGAGGTAGAGGAAATTTGCATCTATGGAGAATCTTCATTAATGCAGCCATGCTTCCCCTTTCTATGCCTTTCCAGGACCTAGGAGTGATTGAGAGTCTGATACCTTTAAAGGTCTGAAAAGAAACATTTACCATCTATTCTCTCTGAGGGCCACCTATGAGGCTTCATCTACTTAATAAGATCCTTGGTCTTTCCCCCACTCTTATCTGAACTCAGGCATTCCTTTCTATCGATTTCAAGACTTTAGACGATAGCATAACTCTCTCAACCAATTGTCAACTAAAGGATCCCTAAAAGCCCCTTATGACGTACAAGCTCCTACCCTGACCTACCTGCAATTACCTGCAGTTGGTTGTCTCCTTGGAATGTATAAAACCAAAGTGTAACCCGGTTGCCTTGGGCACGCTTTCAGAACCTCTTGAGATAGTGTAACCCAGGCCTTGGTCACTTATACTGGCTCTGAATAAACCTCTTTAAATATATTTTGACAGAATTTGGTTTTTGTGTATTTTTCTGTGTATTTCTACCTCTGAGAAGAGGAGTAATTTATACTCTTTAAAAATCATGGTCAGGTATGACTGGTGCTAGAATGAGGATGAAGGGAAGAGAAAGGGAAGAAATAATTCTCCACTCTTTGTTTCCAATTTTAGTTCTTTAAAGTAAAAGTACAAAACATTTTGTAGAGATGTAGTTTGTGGTGGCATGGTTGAAAAACTTCTGCAGTTTATGATTCCTCCACTACAGTGTGATAATGTTTTAAATAGCATTTAAAATGTAGATTCTGTCCAATCCTTACAATTAACTTTTTTATTGTTTGGAATCCATGAAGTTGGTATATGCATGAGCAGATACATATTTATTTAAGAAAAAAAATTAGGCCTTACAGAAAATTGGTTTCTCAGAGACATGATAAAAGTTACCAGATAATGTCTCTCAGACTATATCTATGAAAAAATACATAACCAAATAGACACCAATTGCAAATGAATTAATTACATTGAAATTCTAATAACTTTCATTTCCTAAACTGACATTGATGGAAAAGAATTCTAAGATATAAAATAAGCTCTACTTCATCCTGCTTTCAATAGCACATGATTTAATCAGAATATATAAGTAATACTGTTGAGCACATAAATATTATTTTCATTACTTGATGATAATTATGACTATTTTCATTGCTATAATTTTGGTCATGCCATATTGATTAGCAATAAAATATATACTTAGCTAGAGAGGCAGCTAATCCAAAACTTTTGGGATTTCTTTTTTTTTTTAGATTATTGGTGCTCCTCCTCCTGTCATTGAGGTTAAAATTAAATGTTACATATTCCTTCTCTGTGTATGTGTATCTTATTTCCTCATATTCTACCTCTTCAGAGTAGTGTGTGTGAGTGCATGCACACACACTTGCATGTGAGAGCTTCTAATATCTAAATTAATGTTGAATCATTATTCAGAAACAAAGAGAGCTAACTGTTATCCTGACTTTATTCTTTATGAAGAAAAATACAGTGATTCCAAGTTACCAAGTTAGTGCTGCTTTATTTATAAATGAAGTAACATTTTACAAGTTGTGCATAAGTTAAAATTCAGAAATAAAACTTCATCCTAAAACTCTGTGTGTTGCTTTAAATAATCAGAGCATCTGCCTACTTAATTTTTTTTGTGTGGGTGCACAATAGATGTTTAATGAGATCCTGTCATCTGTCTGCTTTTTTATTGTAAAACAGGAGGGGTTTTAATCCTGGAGGAACAACTGATGTACCTCTGAAAAAGAGAGGGATTAGTTATTAATTGAATTGAGGGTTGTCTTGTCTTAGTAGCTTTTATTCTCTAGGTACTATTTGATTATGATTGTGAAAATAGAATTTATCCCTCATTAAATGTAAAATCAACAGGAGAATAGCAAAAACTTATGAGATAGATGAACATTGTGTGAGTGGCATGGTTTAATTTGTTTGGAAGAAGCACTTGCCCCAGAAGATACACAATGAAATTCATGTTATTGAGTAGAGTAGTAATACAGTGTGTTCCCTTGTGAAGTTCATAACCAAGAATTATTTTAGTAGTGGATAGGTAGGCTGAATAATTGACTTCCTATCATTTTCAGGTTCTGTGTTTGATTTTTTTTACATATTAATTTCTTTGATCCACATTAAGCTCAGTTATGTATTTCCATTTTATAAATGAAAAAAAAAAAATAGGCACTTGCAAATGTCAGATCACTTGCCTGTGGTCATTCGGGTAGAGATTTGTGAAGCTAAGTTGGTCTTAATCAAATGTCAAGCTTTTTTTTTTCTTATAAAATATAGATTTTAATATGAGTTTTAAAATAAAATTAATTAGAAAAAGGCAAATTACTCAATATATAAAATGTATTGCATTTGTAATAGGTAGGTATTTCATTTTCTAGTTATGGTGGGATATTATTCAGACTATAATTCCCAATGAAAAAACTTTAAAAAATGCTAGTGATTGCACATTTAAAACACCTTTTAAAAAGCATTGAGAGCTTATAAAATTTTAATAAGTGATCGAACCAAATTTGAAGAGAAAAGAAGAACCCAGAGAGGTAAGGATATAACCTTACCAGTTGCAATTTGCCGATCTCTACAAATATTAATATTTATTTTGACAGTTTCAGGGTGAATGAGAAAGAAACCAAAACCGAAGACTAGCATATGTTAAGTCTTCTTAAGGAGCCCACCCTTAAAAGATTGAGATGACCAAATCTTATACCCTCAGCATAAGGTGAACCAGACAGACCTAAAGCAGTGGTAGCTTGGATCCACTACTTGGGTTTGTGTGACTGCGTGACTCAGGTAATCTCAAAAATTGAACATTTTTTTAAGGTGGTCCTACTCGTATGCCCAAGTGTTAGGGAGAAGCAAATCTGAATGCTTTATAAAAATACCCTGAAGCTAAATCTTACAATATTCTCAAGAACACAGTGAAACAAGGCAAAATAAGTTAAAATCAACAAAAACAACATGAAACATAATTAGACCCACAAAGACTTCAAACATTGGACAATATCAGAGAAAGATAATAAATATTTTACTCTTTAAAAATTTAGTTAAAAGCTTAAACTAATTGTAGAGAAAAAACTGTGTTAGTATTATATTGTGGATGAAATAAGCAAAACATTTAAAATACAAATGTGATTACTTAAATTAAATATAATAGATAATTTACCACCAGATTAGATACCATTGAAGGAATAATTAATATACTGAAATACAGGTCAGTAGAAGTTTTTTTCAATTCAGCATGGAGATGTAAAAAATGAAAATTAATGCAAAAAATAAGGGCACAAAAAGAAATGAGTAATTTTGATCAGAAATGTATTAAAATTAATAAACTGGAAATTTGACATTTAAAAAAAAGCATTGTCATCCAAGTAGATGTGTCTATTAAATAGTTGTTCTCATATCCAGTAATGTAATTATTATTCCCCCTCATGCAGTTCAGATTCTGGGGTAATCTTTAGACATCAGTTTTATCTTTTATATTATTTATTCTGTTTACTACATTTTATTTTGCTAATGATATTTTTAATTTCTGACATTCTGGAGTATTGCTTGTAAAAGGTATTTTTAAAAATATTTTATGGTTATTTTTGTGATTCCTATTCCTGTATGGACACCAAGGCTATTGACATTTTCTTTAGTTTCTTCTGTTAATTCTATTTTCTTAGTGTTTATATCATTTCATAGATAGGATATTCTTTATTTTTTATTTTTATTTAAATATTTGGTGATTCTTGGTTTTCTCAGCCATCTATTGTCAAGTGTTCTTATTAAGCATTGTTATTAAATAAAGATTATTTCCTCTAATCACATGAGAATCTTTATTTCCCCCAAGTAATTGAAAATTGCAATGCCATGCTGCCATGTGGTACAGCATGGGTTTGGGCTTGCTTTCTTCTTTTTTTTTTAACTTTTATTTTAGGTTTGGGAGTACCTGTGAAAGTTTGTTATATAGGTAAACTCGTGTCATCAGGGTTTGTTGTACAGATCATTTTGTCACCTAGGTACCAAGTACTCAACAATTATTTTTCCTGCTCCTCTGTCTCCTGTCACCCTCCACTCTCAAGTAGACTCCAGTGTCTGCTGTTCCCTTCTTTGTGTCCATGTGTTCTCATAATTTAGTTCCCCACTTGTAAGTGAGAACATGCAGTATTTTCTAGTATTTGGTTTTTTGTTCCTGTGTTAATTTGGCCAGTATAATAGCCTCCAGCTCCATCCATGTTACTGCAAAGAACGTGATCTCATTCTTTTTTATAGCTCCATGGTGTCTATATACCACATTTTCTTTATCTAAACTCTTATTGATGAGCATTGAGGTTGATTCTATGTCTTTGCCATTGTGCATATTGCTGCAATGAACATTTGTGTGCATGTGTCTTTATGGTAGAATGATATATTTTCTTCTGGGTATATATGCAGTAATGCGATTGCTGGTTGGAATGGTAGTTCTGCTTTTATCTCTTTGAGGAATTGCCATGCTGCTTTCCACAATAGTTGAACTAACTTACACTCCCACTAACAGTGTGTGTTTCCTTTTCTCCACAACCTGCCAGCATCTGTTATTTTTTGACATTTTAATAGTAGCCATTTTAACTGGTATGAAATTATATTTCATTGTGGTTTTAATTTGCATTTCTCTAATGATCAGTGATATTGAGTTTTTTTTTTTTTTCACATGCTTGTTGGCTACATGTACGTCTTCTTTTGAAAAGTGTCTGTTCATGTACTTTGCCCACATTTTAGTGGGGTTGTTTTTCTCTTGTAAATTTGTTTAAATTCCTTATAGGTGCTGGATTTTAGACATTTGTCAGACGCATAGTTTGCAAATAGTTTCTCCCACTCTGTAGGTTGTCTGTTTATTTTGTTAATAGTTTCTTTTGCTATGCAGAAGCTCTTAATAAGTTTAATGAGATCCTGATATGTTTAGGCTTTGTATCCCCACCCAAATCTCATCTTGAATTATAATCTCCATAATCACCACATGGAGAGACCAGGTGGAGGTAATTGAATCTGGGGGTGGTTTCACCCATGCTGTTCTTGTGATAGTGAATGAGTTCTCACGAGATCTAATGGTTTTATGAGGGGCTCTTCCCAGCTTTGCCTGGTACTTCTCCTTCCTGCCGCCTTGTGAAAAAGGTGCATTGCATCCCTTTCACCTTCTCCTATAATTGTAAGTTTCCTGAGGCCTTCCCAGCCATGCTGAACTTCAAGTCAATTAAACCTTTTTCTTTATAAATTACTCAGTCTCTGGTGGTTCTTTATAGCAGTGTGAAAATGGACTAATGAAGTTCCCATTTATGAATTTTTGCTTTTGTTGCAATTGCTTTTGACATCTTAGTCATGAAATCCTTGCCTGTTCTAAGTCCAGGATGGTATTGCCTAGGTTGTCTTCCAGGGTTTTTCTAATTTTGTGTTTTGCATTTAAGTGTTTAATCCATCTTGAGTTGATTTTTGTATATTGTGTATGGAAGGGGTCCAGTTTCAATCTTTTGCATATGGCTAGTTAGTTATCCCAGTACCATTTATTGAAAAGACAGTCTTTTCCCCATTGCTCGTTTTTGTCAGTTTTATTGATGATCAGATAATCATAGCTGTGTGGCTTTATTTCTGGGTTCTCTATTCTGTTCTATTGGTTTATGTCCCTGTTTTTGTGCCAGCACCATGCTGTTTTGGTTAACATAGCCCTGTAGTATAGTTTGAGGTCAGATAGCCTGATGCTTCCAGCTTTGTTCTTTTTCTTAAGATTGCCTTGGCTATTTGGCCTCTTTTTTGGTTCCACATGAACTTTAAAACAGTTGTTTCTAGTTTTGTGAAGAATGTCATTGGTAGTTTGATAGAAATAGCATTTAATCTGTAAATTGCTTTGTGCAGTATGGCCTTTTAATGATATTGCTTCTTCCTATCCATGAGCATGATATGTTTTCCATTTTGTTTGTATCCTCTCTGATTTCTTTGTGCAGTGTTTTGTAATTCTCATTGTAGAGATTTTTCACCTCCCTGGTTAGTTGTATTTTACCCTAGATATTTTATTCTTTTTGTGAAAATTGTGAATGGGATTGCCTTCCTGATTTGACTGCCAGCTTGGTTACTGTTGGTTTATAGAAATGCTAGTGATTTTTGTACATTGATTTTCTTTCTAAAACTTTGCTGAAGTTTTTTTTATTAGCAGAAGGAGCTTTGCGGCTGAGACTATGGGTTTTCTAGATATAGAATCATGTCAGCTTCAAATAGGGATAATTTTACTTCCTCTCTTCCTATTTGGATGCCCTTTATTTCTTTCTCTTGCCTGATTACTCTGGCTGGGATTTCCTATGTTGAATAGGAGTCATGAGGGAGGGCATCAAATCTACACATATCAAATACTAACCTTGAATGTAAGTGGGCTAAATGCCCCACTTAAAAGGTAAAGGGGGGCAAGCTGAATAAAAAAGCAAGACTCAATGGTATGCTGTCTTTGAGACCTATCTCACATGTGATGACACCCATCGGCTCAAAATAAAGGAATGGAGGAAAATCTACCAAGCATGTAGAAAACAGAAAAAAGCAGGGGTTGCATCCTAATTTCAGACCAAACAGACGTCAAACAAACAAAGTTCAAAAAAGACAAAGAAGGGGCCGGGAGTGGTGGCTCACACCTGTAATCCCAGCACTTTGGGAGGCCAAGGTGGGCGGATTACAAGGTCAGGAGATCGAGACCATCCTGGCCAACATTGTGAAACCCCATCTCTACTAAAATCCAAAAAAAAAAAAAAAAAATAAGCTGGGCTTGGTGGTGTGTGCCTGTAGTCCCAGCTACTCGGGAGGCTGAGGCAGGAGAATCACTTGAACCCGGGAGGCGGAGATTGCAGTGAGCTGAGATTATGCCACTGCACTATAGCCTGGCGACAGAGTGAGGCTCCGTCTCAAAAAAAAAAAAAAAAAAAAAGACGAAGGGCATTACATAATGATGAAGGGTTTTACTCAACAAGAAGACCTTACTAACCTAAATATATATGCACCCAACACAGGAACACCCAGATTCATAAAGTAAGTTCTTAGAGTACAAAGAGGCTCCCACACAATAATAGTAGGAGACTTTAACACACCACTGATAGTCATAGACAGATCATCAAGGTAGAAAATTAACAATGATATTCAGGATCTGAACCCAACATTCCACCGAATGAGTCTGATAGACATCTACAGAACTCTCCATCCAAAAACAACAGAATATACATTCTTCTCATCTCCACATGGCACATGCTCTAAAATTGACCACATAATGCCTTTCTTTTCAGTGGTCCATATGTAAGTCTTTTGAAAGTGGCAGCATCTCTACTGCTCATGCTTGTTGCAAGGAACTCTACTGAATACAAGGAACTTTACTAATCTCTAATGCTTGTGAGTAGATTCTGAACTCATCATTTAGAAAGCTAAACTGGGGGCTTTCTTCCCAGAGCAAAGACATAAAACAAACCTCAATTGAGCGTGGGACAGGGAGTCATGTGCTATAAATTTCTTGGACAGTTCTTATTCTATGGACCAATTACCATTCCCTTGTATCTCTAATTTTGGGATTATTTCTGGATTAAAACACAAAAAAAATCAGACTGTAAAAAGTCATCATTTCTACCAGTGTGAGAATATGTATTCCTCACCTTTACTGGGATTCACTGCCAGTATATATGCAAATGACTTATACACACACATACACACACGCACATACACACACACGTGTGTGTGTGTAGGTATGTCTGTAATAGGTATTTATATGTTTGCCTGTCTTTCTATTAGAATTGAGATACAGCAAAATGCACAGAAATTAAGCATTCAATTTAGTAAGTTTTCACAAATGTACATATTTAATCAATATCTCAATCAACACAAAAACCATTGTTTCACCTCTGAAGATAATTTTTAATCTTTTGCAAATTATTGAGACTTATTTAATGACCGAGACTACACAGTCCTTCGTAAACATTCCATGTAAATTTGATAAAAATATTTTCATGAAATTTTTTGTGTAGTGTTCTAAAACTTGAAATTAGACTACATTAGTTGATAGTATTATTAGAATCTTCCAAATCCTTACTAATTTTTATTTGTTCATCTATTGTTTATTTTGAGCCGATGATTAAAATCTTCAACTATGAGTGAAAGTCTATTTCTCTGTTTAGTTCTGTCTGTTTTTACTTCATGCATTTTGACACTCTGTTATCAGTTGTATAAACATTGAGAATTATAATGCATTGCTAATGAGCTTAACCTTTTATCATTCCATCTCTGATATTTCAGCTTATTTTGAATCCTACTTTCTCTGGTATTAGCCAGCTACATCAGTTTTACTTCCTTTCATTTTCAACCAATTTTATGACTCCATCTCAAAAAAAAAATGCATTCATTATACAGAGCATATAGTTTTGTCCTTTTTAAATCCAGTCTCAAAATTGCTAGCTCTTAATTTAAGTGTGTTATGGGTTGAATTGTCTGCCAAAAAAAACATACGTTGAAGTCCTTACCCCAGTAATTAAGGATGCAACCTTATTGAAAGATAGGATCTTTATAGATGTAATCAAGTCAAAATGGGATCATTAGAGTGGCCTGTAATCCAATGTGACTGGTGGCCTTATGAAAGGGGGAAATTTGGACACAAAAATGCCACCAGAAAGCACAACATATGAACATGAAGAAAGCCATCTAAAAGCCACGGAGAGATGTCTAGAACAGATTCTTCTTCACAGCCTTTAGAAGGAACCAGTACCTTGAATTCAGACTTCTAGCCTTCAGGACTTGAGATAATACATTTTTGTTGCTTGAGGCACCTAGTTTATGGTACTTTGTTATATAACCCTAGGAAACTAATATAAATGTTCAATCCATTTACATTTAATCAGTGATGTCAGTGTTGTTAAATCTACCATGTTACTATTTGCCTACTATTTTCTTATTTGGGTGTTGTTCTCTTCCCTTGGTTGTTGATATTTCTTTCTTCACCGGTTCAGTGTTACCTTCCTTAGAGTAAATGGATATTTTTCAATATTTCATTTTAATTATGCTATTGGCTTTATACCCTTCATACATGTGTTCTTGTTGATTCGATGTTCTTGGATCTCTGCATTGAAATTTTTCATCAAAATTTGAAAACACTGGCAATTATTTCTTCAAATATATTTTTTCTTTCCCATTTTCTGACTCATCCTTTTGAGACTTCATTTGTGTATAGGTTTGATGGCTTGATATCCCATGTCATTCAATCTCTTATTTTAATCATTTTCCTCTTTTGTTTGAGATTAGATAAATTCAAAAATGGTTTTCAAGGTTATTTGTCTGCTTTTCAGATAGCTGAAATCTGAGAGTATACCCTGCCAGTGACTCTTTCATTGTATATTTTGCACTTGTTACTTCAACAATGTTCATTTCTCAAAATTACCTTTTTCGTTCTATCATTGTGACAATATCTCCATAGTCTAAGGACATATTCATAATATATATCTGTTGATTTCAATGCCTGGGTCATTATGATGTATGTTCTATTGACTGCTTTTTTCCCCTTGATTATTTATTAAATTTTCCTGCTTCTTTGCGTAACTTGTATTTTTGACTAATACACTGTAGAAAATCTAGACGTTGTCTTCTTGTAAAAGGCCCTAAGATAGTCCTTTGAAAGCTGTTAAGTGGCTTCCAGATCCTTTTGATCTGCCATGCCTGGTTTCATTATTTGTTAATGAAAATCTCTTTCATTTTTGTTCTTAAAGATAGGACATAGTCTTTACTGAAAGAAATAGTCCTTGTTCTTAATGCCTGGAATATTCCGTAAAATATCTTCCCTGTGGCTAGTCAGTAACCCAAACATCTCCTTGTCCTGTTACTACTGATATCTTATTCCCACAGTATCTGCTTTCAGCAGGTCTTGCAGATGTTAACCCTGCTCAGGTATAGAGCAGCTTTTGACGAAATTGGTGCCAAATACTTATTCTGGCTTCTGTAGGCCTACCCCATGCCTCTTTTTCCTTTCCTATACAAATTTCAGCCACTTCAGCAGCTCTTAAATAACAACCACTTAAGCAAGTGTAAGCTATTTACAAATATCGATAGATAGATAGATAGAGAGAGAGAGAGATGATATAGATAGAGATTTAATTGTAATTTTAGATTCAGGGGGTATATGTGCAGGTTTGTTACAAAGTTATATTGCTTGCTGCTACTGTTTGGGCTTCCACTGATCCTGTCACCCAGGTAGTGAACTGAATACCTAACAGGAAGTTCCTTGGCTCTTGTCCCTCTACCCCTACCTCTTTTTGGAACCTAATTAAACTAAGAGCTTCTGCATAGCAAAAGAAATTATCAACAAATAAGCAGACAACCTACAAAATGAGAGCTTTAAGCTTTAATTTCTTCCTCTAAACTCATTATTTTTAGAGTCTGCCTCCTTGTTTAATGGGAGAAAAAGTGCCCCTAGTCACATTCTCTGGTTAAATGTGGTACTTACCTCACAGCTTTCTTCTCTCTTGAGTATGAAAAACTTGTACTTCTTGTTTGATGCATAAAATCTGGTTCCTCATATATGTTGCCCAGTTTTATCATTGTTTATAGTGAAAAGGCAAGTCCCTCCAATAATTCTATTATGGCCAAAGACTAAAGTGCCTCTGATATGACTTATGTCCTTCAGAAATTGCTTACTCTTTAGTCTGTTGGTAGAATTCTTCTCAACTTTCCATAGTTATTTTAATAAGTACTATATTTTCCTATTTCAATGGCAATTTGGAATAAAGGAGAAATAAATGTATTTGTTTGGTCCATCTTTGTGTATTCAAACTGTTAAGTCATTACTTTTCACGTCCACTACACATATTACTGCACAGTAATTCCTTGTTTACACCTATAATCTCCCTCTCCTGTTTTCCTAGTTTCTATTCAAGTATTTGGGGTAACTGATATTTCTTAAAACAATATGTATTCTTGGAAAGAGATGTTTCTAGAATCCCCTTCTTAGGTGACTTATTAGGAAAAATTATAAGAATAAGAACGAGAATAGAGAAGAAAAGTAATTGAAGACATCCACTTCAACTCTAAATCCCCCTAGGAGAAAAAAGGCTAGCACTTATTTAAATGCCCTTCTTAGGTGACTTATTAGGAAAAATTATAAGAATAAGAATGAGGATAAAGAAAAGTAATCGAAGATACCCACTTCAACTCTAAATCCCCACAGGAGAAAAATGGCTGGCACTTATTTAAACTCATCTAGGTTTTAGTTTTGCTGATGTTGTTTTTCCAATAATAATCCGTTTCAATTATTATAACAGCAATTTCAGTGAAATATGGTACTTACCAGCTAAGTTTTACACAGGGAAGCACTTTCCTAAACACTTCCCCATCCTTCTTCAAAGTTTGAATCCAAATCTTTTGTACTCCAGGGCTTATTTTGTTTTTCCTACAGCATTCTGCCTTTCTAGAATTAGCACTAGTTACCCTCAGGAAAAGCAAATACATGGACCCATAAAATAATCTTTGGAAGTCTTTCTTCTCCTGCTAGTTACCAAATTATAATCTTCTTATTGTAATAATAAAATAAAATAAAAAATAAAAAGAACTATTTTACTCTAATAAGTTTCCCATTAAGCTAAGCCTGCTTTTGTTGTATTAGAGATTAACATATGTAGACAGTGTTCTTTTTGACTGGAAATGGGGATTAGTTATGGTTCAAGTAATGCATAAACAAGATGTATTTTTAAAAATACGTCATATTTATGCATTATATTTAAGCAGCCATTTGTAAAAAGCTGAAACTTATTAGAAAGTGAATTCTTCATACTCATGTTTGTATTTTCAATGTTTAGGATTATTTGTTAGCTTAGGTATAGACTAGATTATTTTTCTAAACAAACAGGAATAAGAAATATAGGTAGTAAAATTTACATGACCTGGTAAAATTTAAAATATCCATTCTGACTAACAGGCAGTGATGAGAACAATAAATAAAATATATCTTGGTTTAAATTCTAAGTAAATATATTTGACAATATAAATATAAACATACTCATATGAGTGAATTGCTTCTAATTCTGGCTTTTAGCTAAATAAGCACTTAATGCTAGTAAGAAAAATACATTATTTCATAAAGATAACAAATTCTTTCAGAAATAGTAATTATATTTTTAAAGAGTTTGGGGAAAATAGAAGTGTATACTCTAATCTTATAGCAAAGTTTCTGCTAAGTTTTTGTGATGCCAGTGTTTTCATTATGAATCATTTCACTGTCAAACAAAATGTACGCTGTTGATTAAACACAGGCAAAAAGAGACGGAAAAAAAAAGGTATATTAAAAAAAAGACCTTTGGTTATTCTGGCTGCCACCAATTGCTTTCTTGTTTCAGCTGAATTTTGAAGTAGCTAATCATATTTTGGCATTTTCTTGTCATCAAAGCATTTCGTGAAATTATCCCATTACAATGTTTTTCTCAGAGGCAAAATTAACATGGTTGACAGTTTAATTGACATATTTCTTTTTCGTTGTGTGCCTTTGCCAATTAAACAAATTGCACCCTATTTTGATGTTCATTTTGTTAATTATTTGTAAAACTGTAGACTCTGATTTTTTTTTTTTTTAATTTTCAGGTGTCAGTTTCTTGGTAGGGAATGAAAATAGTGCCAACCTGTGATACCTTCACCCTAATTTTACTTTCTGAGGAAGTTTTCTGTAATAGTTATTTGGTGATAATTATTAATACTGGTGAGTTTTAAAATTTTTGCTTTCAGCAATTTTCCATTTTTTTCAACATACTTATATCGCAATGAGGCAACCAAATATGAATCCTGAGAATGAAGATGGAAAATGAATATTTTAATCCAATATCGAGTTGTTCTTTCAACATTTTTAGTTTTAGTTTTAATTGAAAATATAAAGTTACATAATTGTGTGAGGAATAATTTTTGCAGAGAAATTTTTAAAAATTCACAAAAGGAAAAAGAAACCTTTACCATGAGTCTATAACATTGAAAGACTGTGTTTAAGTTATTTTAATAAAGCCAAACCAACACTTTCAGCAGGAACTAAATGGCAGCATCTGATTTCACGCTGATACATATGTATTAGTGTGGTGCTCACTTTTACCCTTCATTTTACCTTGGGTCTTGCCATTTTCTTTCTTTTTATTTTTATGTTTTTTTGTTTTTTGTTTTCTTCTGGAGGAGGTAATTTTTAGGGAGAAAAAAAACACTTTTTCCTCATAGGTCGATTTAAAATGTTGGCCTTACCTTAATCTCCTCTCTCAAACTCAATCCACTATGTAATGGGTCAACATACTTTTCTGTGAAGGAGCAGATAGTAAATATTTTAGTCTTTGCAGGCCATATGGTCTCTGTTGCCAGCTCTTCCATTGTGGTGTGAAAGCAGCCATAGACAACACAGAAATGAATAAGTGTAACTGTTCCAATAAAAACAGATGATATGTTGAATTTAGCTCACAGAGTTTAGCTTGCTGCCCCTGCAGGAGGCCTTTGGAGTAAAAGCTTCCTGAGAGGAGGACTTTTTGTCTTTTTTGCTCAAGTTCTAGCTCCAGTACCTAAAATAGTGCCTGTCACGTAGGTATTGATGAATATTTGAACCTGTTGAACATACACCTAAAATAAAACATTTGGCAAGATACAGTACTACACAATTTGGAGAACACTTGGCTCCCATAGAAATCAAAGCCTTCCTGAGTAATTAATTATTTGGCCTGATGATGAATTACTGTGCCTGAGATGATAGAGCTAATTTATTTTTCAATTCACTCAGGGGACACACGTTATTTTCACTGTGAATTTGGTTAAAATGAAAAGATTTCCTGCTCTAAGTCCTGGATAGACCTTTATGTAATAGCATACTCTTCACTCTTTTTGAATCACATGCAGTTGTCACACTGGATGATTTCCAGACAGAGGCTCCAAGTCTTTCATCATGTTTGGGTTAAAGACCTCATTAACATACTAGTCCTGCCATTTGAGTCTGTTCTCTTCACGGAATATTTTCACCTGAATCAGTGGGTATAATTCATCAGTGTCTGGTTGCTTCAAGTTATTTTTCTTAATGCTGATGTTAATGCATGCCCATCTTTATGCCTCAACACATTGCACAATGAAAAACAAAAATTATTTTGGAAGACACAGCTGACATCTATATGAAATATTCAGTATCAGTGATTGAACTTCAGCAAGCTCCTGTGGCCAGCAGGGTTTTACGGAGGTGCAACTGCTCTCCCACGATCACTTATCATAAAGCCAGAGACAATTGGGCCAATGTAGCCTCTTGCCTGCTTTTGTGTACAAAATATAAATAGAATAGAGCAAATAAGGAAAAATAGTCCCGCAGCTGGAAGGCAACTTTAAAGAAAAATGATGTTCATAGCTGTCTTGCCAGTAGCTGGCAAAGCAGTTTTTATAAGACATATTTAATGTTTACAACCACTTGGAGGCTGGGGAAGGAGTAATACTTTGAAAATATGTTTAATGTTGTGAACCACTCTGTGGCCGAGAAGCAACTCCGGCTAAAATATATTTAATGCTTAGAGTCATTTGGTGGTTTCGAAAAAAAGAAACTTCTTGTTAATTTTTAACATTTATTGCTGATCAGTGGCTGCTAAAGTAACTATCAGTACAGCATGATTTATATTTAGGGACACGCTGTGCTGCTACTAAAACAATTCATACTCTTCTCTCAAGGCTACACAAAAAGTGTCAATAGCATTACCTTTGCAATTGCACCACTAATAAAAACATAGGAATCAAACAGACGAATAAAATGCTCCCTGCCCACACAGCCATAACATCCTATGGCCCTGAAAATAGTTCTGCCAAGCTGCGTGCAGTGGACACTTCACGGCTGGCACAGGAGAGATCACAAGGCCTTGCTCAATTTCATCAAAAGTGTTAAAGCGACTCAGCAGATTGTGAAGCACAAGTGGAAGCTGATAATTGGTGTTTCTTACAAATCAACGGCTTGTCTCCACACATCAAGGTAAAGGCGTCCTCTACACCAAAGAAAATGTAAATTGGGATAGAAGGTCATTATGTTTTTAAATAAACTTGGTTAAATTTGTAGAAAGGGCAATGGTAAATACTGAGCTCACATGTCAGATGGAGAGAAAACTTGAGAAAAGGGAAGAAGATAATGAGCTGGAACCTTTACCATTTAGACTTTCTCTGGCTAGCTTTCTGAGAATGATCATCAAACTCTTATGAGGACCCTTTCCAATGTATTGACTGCACTTCCCCAGGGATTGTGGCAAATGGTAAATATATATTTTCTCCTTGCTACTTGCAATAACCCTGCTCATAAAGTGTTACTATTATTCACTTGCAGGTGAGAAAATCAATGTAAAAGAGGAGAAATAACCCACACAACCACATACAACTAGGAAATGATAGATGGATCTGAAAAAAAGGATAAGCACTCTTAACAAGTTCAACACCCAAGTACTATTGCAAGTACAAGCTGTATTTCATGGAAAAAAAAAAAAGAATAACTCAAAAGGCAGAACGAAGAGCCTAGAGGTCAGAGATGAGAGGCATGAATAATTATTCACAGGCGTTGAATATAATCAAATGACTTGCAACATTTACCACTGGGATTTTAAAATGTGGTGGACCAATCATTCTTTTAGTCTGTGCATTTTCCCATTTTTTTCAACAGGAATGTCTAGAGACATTATTCCTGTTTTGCCACTGTATTTTTGGTGAATGTGTAGTAAGTAACTGGCCTCTTTAGTATCACAAAGCTGGATGAAGAAAATGTGGTACATATACACCATGAAATACTATGCCGCCACAAAAAGGAAATGAGATCATGTCCTCTGCAAGGACATGGATGAATCTGGAAGCCATTATCCTTAGCAAAGTAACGCAGGAACAGAAAACCAAACACCACATGTTGTCTCTTAGAAGTGGGAGCTGAACAGTAAGAACACATGGACACAGGGTGGAGAACAATACACACTGGGGCTTGATGGGGGGTGGAGGGGAGGGATGGGGAGCATTAGAAAAAATAACTAATGCATGCTGGGCTTAATACCTATGTGATGGGTTGATAGGTGCAGCAAACCACCCTGGCACATGTTTATCAATGTAACAAACCTGCACATCCTGCACAGGTACTCCAAAACTAAAAGTAAAAAAATCTAAAAGAAAAAAAAAAAAGAATTAAACCCAAAATCACTTCCCCATCTGGACTTGATTTAGATGAAAAGCTTCTGGACTTTGAGCTGATGCTATAGTGGGTTGAAAATTTTGGGGTCCTCAGAAGGGGATGAGGATATATTGCATGAGAGAGCAACATGAATCATTGAGAGCCAGAATATAGAGAGTGGTAGGTAGACTGTAGGAGAGCCCTCAATGATCCCAGCTTTCTTGTATTCGCGTTGCACTTACTTGTATAATATGGCAGATGGGATGTGATGTCACTTTCAAGATTAGGTTATAAATAGACTATGGCTTCAATCAGAGGGTTTTCTCTCTGTCTAGCTCTCTTTTGGGTAGTTCATTCTGAGGAAAGCCAGCTGCCACGTTATGATGTAGGCCTGTGAGGTCCACGTAGCAAAGAACATATGGAAGATTTCTACCACCCCCTAACTAAGCCTTTAGGTCAGACCGCAACCCCAGCCAACAAGGTAGCTACAAACTCTTGAGAAGCCTTGAGACAGAGGTACTCAATAGAGCCATTCCTATGAGAAACGTAAGTATCTGCTGTTTTACACCGCTAAGGTTTTAGCTAATGTATTATGCCATAATAGATAAGTTATATACAACCTTTATCAAATAATAAAAGTAACCATCATCAGTAATGAGACAAATCAAAAACCATGGCCCACCCAATAGAACATAATGAGGAGAGTACAGAATTGCTTCTGGGATATTTCTGACAAAGATGTATATGCTTCATTCATACATGAGGAAACATCACACATACTCAAGATGGGAGAGCCATTCTAAAAAATAACTAGGCAGAAATCTTCAAAAATATTAAAGTCACGGAAACCAAGAAAAAATATGAACCTGTTCCAGATTAAAGGAAACTAAACAGACCTAACATTTTAATACAATGTTTGATTTTGAACTTGAACTTTTTGTTATATAAGACACTATTGAGACAAGTGCTAATGCTTGAATAGGGCTGAAGGATTAGATTATAATAATACATTAATGCAAATTTCCTGATTTTAAACATTGTAGTTTGATTGCACAAGGAGAATGTCTTTATGTGTGGAAAATAAATAGTCAACATTCTGTCTTCAAGCTTCTGAAAAAACTCTGCTTTTAGGGCATAGATAGAAGTGGATGATAATTCACCTGTTCCTCTGCTACTAATTGAGCTGCTCTCTGTTTCCATGGCTGGCTCATGGGATGAGAGAATATATCTAGTTTTTTATGTTTCAATTTGTCTCTCTATGGCATTTTTGTGAAAATAAGGAAGTGTGGAGACTTATATATGTTTCTAAATTGTAATAGTTCATTAATGTAAAGTACAGACACAGTCTTCACTTTTCCTTCTTAGACCGTTTAAATATGGCCACGAAACAAGTAGTCTCTGGTTGGCTGGGCACTGTGGCTCATGTCCTTAACACCAACACTTTGGGAGGCCGAGGCAGGCAAATCACTTGAGGTCAGGAGTTCGAGACCAGCCTGGCCAATGTGGCAAAACCCCATCTCTTCTAAAAATACAAAAATTAGCTGAGTGCGGTGGTGCACACCGGTAATCCCAGTTACTCGAGAAGCTGAGGCAGGAGAATCACTTGAACCTGGAAGGCAGAGGTTGCAGTGAGCCAAGACCGCACCACTACACTCCAGCCTGGGCAATAGAGCAAGACTCCATCTCAAAAAAAAAAAAAAAAAGAAAAAAGAAAATAGTCTCTGGTTAAATAACCTCTGAAAGACTCCACCAAAAATTTCATCTTAGCATTTCTCCCCAAACTTCATGTAAAATAAAATAGAGTTGAGAGAAAAATAGAAAGGCAAGGGAGTACCTGTTCACTATTTTTATTAAACCAGTGTTCTACTTTATTTTAGGTGTATCTTTTCTTATTTAAATGTCAGCTAAACTTTCTTTTTAAGATATTGAATGAAAGATGCCCATCCTTCAGGTTTCGTTTAAGCAAGAATCCCCATTCTCAAATAATATAATATAAACTTTCCAAATTCTTAAGTAGATCATCTGAGATTGAAAGCTAAGTTTAACTTTCTCAAAGATATTTTAGCCGCCATGACACCTAGACAAAGTGGTATATTAAATTCTGATTAATTTGGTCCTAAAGCACCTAAGAATCATTCTTACTTTCTTATCCACAGGGGTTATTAAGTTTTCACATTAAAAAAAATCCAACAGTGAATAATACTGCATTGGGGTTACTGTAATTGTTAAGTAAAATAAGAAATACAAATCTTTAGTTAGATCACATGGCACCTGACTACTGCTTAGAAAATGGTAAGACTTACTACATAAATGATGAGTCACTATTGACATCTACTATATCATATCATAGGTTAGGTATCTAATTATAAATAGTCAAATCAGCTGACTCAAGGTGGCATAGCTCAAGCAGAGGAAGATAATACAAGTTGAGTATGGATTTAACACTCTAAACCTGTCAGCACTGTAGGAAAAGTAACTTAAAACTGCACACCCCACTTATGCATAATCATCAGATATAAAGAGGGTACATTCCTGTAATTTATTGTTGCTCTAGTGATCTTAAAGAATTAAGTCCACATTCATAAAGTCCAAACTTGTCTCCAAGGATTTGCTTTGACTTTGGGAGTATCTGGATCATTAAGTAATTTCCGGAGGTCAGAGTAAAAGCTTTTTATCTCTAAATATTACTTCCCTGGAAAATTAGATGTAGCAGAAGTCAGTAACGGAGTGACCTTTGTCTTAAACAATTCATAGATTCACTGAAATTTTCTTCAACTTTAGGAAAATGAAATATATTCCACAGTGCTGTAAGTCTTAAATATTGATTTTCCTCTGAAATCTTGACTCATCCTACCCACCAACATTCTCCCTTTGTACACTATGTTCTTTGTAATGTTTACGTTACACAAGTGAAAATTAGTAACATTAGTAAATTTTCATTGCAGGTTTATTTGTTCATATTTCTGGATATATAATCCATTACTGTTAAACTTCGTATCAATGTTCCGATATTTCTTCATCTTATGTTTTATGTTACAAAACAGGTTATTTCACTATATGTATTTTTAATTGATTAATTCTTCCCTTTTTTGGAAATGAAACAGCCCTCTCAATTATTGGGACAGAAAAGTTATTTCATAGGGAATACTTCAAACACTGATATCTACAACAGGCAGTAAGATTCGTCACAACAATTGGTATACTGTCAATATACCATACAAAGTTCCATCTGGTCTTGATTAAAAATTATTTTAGTTTTCTCAGGAAAATGATACAGAGGGAGAATTGCCTAGATTATATGAGAGAAAAAAAAGTAGAGAGAAACATAATGTTTTCTTAGATTATTACAGCAGTGAACTATTTCCACCTGGTAAGAAGGGTGCACTTGAGAATGGGGTACAAGTACTCTAGGAACATAGATGTAAGTTCTGGATGCACAGTAGTTGTTGCTTAGCTGTAAGCTGGAAATTTCAAGGCAGAAACAGCAGATACCACAACTATAACTGGGTCTTCTTGTTTTTTGTTTTATGTGTATACGTGAGATTATGGGGAAAGACAAAAGTAATGCATAGAGATTTATTTTTTAACATTCAATTCATAAGCAGTGTTTATACCTCTTTGTACTTACTTGAAAAGTGTATATTATGTAAATTTAGTATAAAAACACTTGGACTAATTCATACCATGTGGTAAAATTTCACATTCAAAAGAAATACCCTTCTGTTATTAAAAATAAAAAAAAAAGGAGCCAGGAGGGTGGCTCATGACTGTAATCCCAGTGCTCTGGGAAGCCAAGGTGGAGGGATCATTTGAGGCCAGGACTACTTGAGAACAGCCTGGGCAACATAGCTAGATCCCTTCTCTACAAAAAGTAAAAAAAAAAAAAAAAAACAAAAACAAATAGCTAGGCAGGGTGGCACATGGCTGGCTATTAAGGAGGCTCAGGTGGAGGGATCTCTTCAGCCCAGGAATTTAAGGCTTCAGTGAGCTAAGATTGGGCCATTGCACTCCAGCCAGGGCAACAGACCAAGACCCAGTCTCAAAATAAATAAATAAAAATGAAAGAAAGCAGTGCACTGAAAATCAATTTAAGTATTTACTGGAGTTGTCTTGAAGGCCCAATGGGAAATGTCAGTAAGGGCACATGAGAAAACACTTTAAGAACCTATTCTTCCAAAGATCTTTCCAGTATCTTATGACAACACAGTAAATTATACCCACTCCAACTGCAAAAGCTGAAACTACTCTGCTTTCTCACTTACCTACACTTTTGACTTTCCAAATACATTTCTCTCTTCGGATATGAGCTGCAAACTCCTTATATAAAGGCTCCAACTCTGCAGCCCTAATTATTCTAGTTGGCCCAAGAAAAATCCTAATTGTTTTATCTAAGGAGACGGAATTTTCCAATACTGTAGAGGCATGTGTGTGTGTTTGCTTTAAGGAAGCTGTTTTGGTAATAAAAAGTCACTGAAGGTCATAAATTCATGTTAACACATCCAGTGTACATGAAGTAGGCACCGAGTTAAACTATTTGTCTACTATATAGCATGTCATCTTAAAAGCCTTATTTTTTCCTCAAAATATTAACTTTATTTTTCTCCCTGTAAAATCAAGACACAGTTAAAATGTAGCCTTCCTCATTTTCTGGGAATACTTTCTAACAAGATATGCTTCTTTCCAATTGGACTTCTAAATTTCTAGCAATTCTAACAGTGCATAAAAGAGGCAACCCCAAAAGTGTAGCAGGTACTGAATAACAGATTTGCAGCCTTGGGTATCCACATTAAAATTTGAAATCTAAGTGAATTACTTCAAGCTGATTTCTTAGGTCAAGGAGAGATTATGGTCCTTAAATGCCTGATAAGGTCACATACACAATTTCAAGTGCATTATAGTAAATCCATGTGACAGCTCCTACAGCTACTAACCTGCTTCTGCCCTCACGGTAGCGTGCACAATCTTCATCGCATGTCCTGGGTGGTGGTAGGAGCAGTAGAAACCCCCTGGGTCATGTCAGATTTAGAAAATATAAGCAATGGCTCATACACGAATTTTAAGTTGTAACCTACATGTGATAAGTTGCTTTATCTTCCAAATGTAATAAAAACCAGAAGTTACTTTGAAATAAATTGAAGGATTAGCAGTGGTGACTGAGGAATAAAAATTATAATTTAAAATTGTCCTTAAGGCTGGAATTCTTAACTTATTGACCTTATATCCTACATATTATAGGACTTTGTAAATTTAGGCTGATATGGAAATGTATATTTATATCAAATTTAAATTTTTAGAATGATGGTGCTACTATATTCTAATTGTTAATTTGATAATTGTAATTGTAATTTGTTAATTTGTTCTAATAATGTTTTCATGACATTATTCATTTGCTGCTTGGCTTGATGGCATAACAAGTATGGGTTATTTACCCTGAAAAGGAAACAGTATCACCCTTCCAGAATCTCTATTTACAGCTACAAAAGATGCAACACACCTGTTTCTGGACCACTTCCAGATCAGATGTGATGCATGCTTTAGATCATTTACTTTGATCTAGGAATTACTGTCTGGCATTTCGTGGTGTAGGGTAGGTGTCTCCAGCACTGTATAGGTGTCTGGAATTGAGATAAGAATCAATTTCAATACAAAATACATTTTTTGCTTAAAGCACGCAAGGATTCTATGAATTCAGGTAAATTCACAGGGTGGAAAACAGGAACTAATGTTATATATTCCTGTAGTTATCTTCATAATGAAGCAGAAAGAAAAACAAAAAAGTTACAAAAATAAATGAAAAGAACTGTATTTTCTAGAATTGAAAAATAATTCTTTTAGATGATAGATAAGATGTTTACATCAACCTGCAAAAAGTCAATGTTGAAGAGGTCTCATTGTATCTCACAGAATTTTGATTTGCCTACTCACCCACAGGAGACATTTCTGGGACAGTAGCAACATAAGGTCCATCCCAAAACTTTGGCTCATTATCATTAATATCCTGCACTTTGATGATGAATTCTGATTCAGGCTCCAGGGGCTTTCTGGTTTCTATGTCCACAGCCTGAGCACGAAGAGTGTAGAAAGGTTTTTCTTCTCTATCTAGGCTCCTTATTGCATGAATGTCCCCTGTGGTTTCATCAATGGTAAAAACGGTGCCAGCGCCATCTCCTGAGAGGGTGTATTTCGCAGTGCCCTCTCCCTTGTCTAAGTCGGAATGGAGCTTTAGGGAAGAGAGGGAGAGAGAGAGGAAGAGAAAGAGAAGGACAAAGAAAGAACACCATTAAAAGGATGTTGCCAAATTAAAAAGTCATAATTTGCAATACAATTCCTTTAATCAAAAATGTTAAATAAAAATCTTATGGTTCTGTTTTCTTGTTTTTTATTTCTCCAACTTCTTTTTATAAAAATTTCAACACAAAAAGTTGAAAACTGTGCAATGAACACATATACATATACATCCAAACATTCCTCCATATGTGTGCAATGAACACATATATACCTATACATCCAAACATTCCTCCATTCGTCTATTAATCTGCTTGCCTTATCAGATAGGTCTCATATCCATTCTTCTGTTCATCCTTCTCTTAACCCATTTTTTTTTTGAGGTGTTACAAAGATCAGAACAAAAGTACAACCTCAGATATAGCAGCAGGCAAAAAAAAACAATAAATTTTGAAAATTTGTATTTAGTTCTTCTGTATCCCTTTGGGATAACATTTTCATAAAATGAAATGCACAAAACTTCAGTGTACTTATTGTTTCATTTTAAATAAACATTGCAATAAAAATAAATTAGCTCATAGACACCACAAAATAAACTTTCCAAGTGTTCTGAAGATGAAATCAATGACCTGAATCCAGTGGGAGATAGTGCAAAGGAACTCAGAAAACACTAAGCATTTTCATTTGTAAAGAAGGGAAAAATCTGGCAAATCAAGAGGTTTTCAGTGATATAGGGCAGAGCGTCTCATTTTAACAGGCTGAGTTTGAATGAGTTTACCACTATGATTGGTAGAATCACTGATTATCCTTTCAGATTCACAAATAGCTTGTTCCAATTCATTCTATATAGAGAATATTTATGTTGAGTAATATAGGAAAGCATTGAAATTCTGCTAATTTTTTTTTAAAATTCAACACATGTATGGTACATTACATTATAGCATGGAATAAGATACACATGAATAAGCGATAAGGAAGAGAACTAAAGAGTAGAGAGAATTATCAGTGTAATGCCATAAAGCAGCGTTGTTCAAACCGGAGACCAAGAATAAATGAAAAATGGACACAGTCTTAAAAGTATATAAATTATGTGTAAATAAATATATACATAAAATATTACATAAAATAAAATAGTGCATCATATACAATTTTCTAGTAGTATATATTTGTATAAATATATTCTTATACATAATATAATTATATATACATAACAGTCATAAATAATATTTATATTAATTTTTATGCAGATGCTGATTTAAATGTTTTAAACTATTCTTGCTCATTTGGGTATAGCCATTTGATTTCAGCATCCAAATTTTTACATGTAACAGCTTTTTCCAGACAACAGATCACCCAAAAGAAAATTAAACTTTTGCAGCATTTCTAACCATTTGGGCTATGCCTTAAAAATCTGCATATGAGCACTGCTCTTTGCAAATCATTGCTTAAGAATGAGTTCTGTTTTCCTAACATTTCAACACACACAAAAACTCTGAAAATATTTTAAATTATATAAATATCCTGTTGCAAATAAGCTTCCTGTGTATTAGTATGAGTAATTAAAAGCACAAATATAGCCCAAATAAATACAAGTTCAACTGTGGCTACATCTTTGCTCTTAAGCTCAAGAGCGTGCTTTAAGTTCAATAAAATAATATCATTGTTCATATTAATGTTATTAAGGTAAACTTATTCATTTTGTGACCCTGCATTTCCTTCAATATTTGTTCTAAAACTGTTTTGTATGAGAGTATAAGCATAACCATAAAAACCTGGTTGGGTAATATAATAAAAATAATGTGGCAACAATAAGAGGGAACAAGATTTTGGCGTTCCTTTAAAAGTTTCTGTATATTTTACTTAAGTATAAAGAAAATTGTTATGAATGATAGGAGGAAGGATTTTTGTCCACCTATTAAAAAAAAACTGCTGTGAAGCATAGGAAGTTTCAAGCATAAAATCAAGCAGTAGATAAATGTTCTTTGAACTTACGAATTTCAAATTATAAATTTCAACCATGCTATTAAAGATATTCAACACAGTGGATATTCCTTTTGCTTTCAAATTTATCTAAATATATGAGACAGGCAAAAGCTCAATGCAAAAGGCATGACTTTATAAAATGGATCCATTTTGCCAACAGCTCAAAGAATTATGGTAATATTGTGGGAACTGAGTGAAAATTCAGAGTAGGTTTTGAAATGTGATACAAGTAGAATTTTAAAAAGAAAAAAGAAAAAAATTTCTGTATTTAGCTAAAATCATAACTGTTTCCTTTGCAAACTGACATAAAAATGAAGAAGCAAAATGTGTCTTTAGTTATATCCAAGTTCCAAATTCAAGTTAATTACTGCTGCTCCTCACTCTTCTACCTTTTCCTTCAAATTTAAAGATGGGCTTTGCAGAGATTAAAGCTTCAGAAAAAAATATGGGAAAATATGTTAAAATGTTGACCTGAAAATGAAGTGGATGACTATAAAACTCTTGAGAGAATTAGACTTTTTGTAGCAGTTTATTACATGATAATACCTTAAAGGAGATCACATTCAGTGACCTGCGTTGACAGGTAATATTTAAAATTAAGTATTAATGCTGATTAATTCAGGCAGATGGGTGGTAGCCTAAAGTATAGACATTTTTCCAATATTAATTTTGATATTAAATAAATGACATCGGCTCTTGTTGGATATTGTAAAATTTCCTTTACTTCAACTGTAAAATAATTTCAACAGTGAAAGGTATAAAGTAAGATGAAAATTTCCATCATGATCTTACCTAGAGATAACTTCTCTTTTTTTGAGTCGAAGTATCGCTCTCGTTGCCTAGGCTGGAGTGCAGTGGCGTGATCTCGGCTCACTGCAACCTCCACCTCTCGGGTTCAAGCAATTCTCCTGCCTCAGCCTCCAGAGCAGCTGGAACTACAAGGCGCATGCCACCATGCCAGGCTAATTTTTGTAGTTTTGATGGAGACAGGGTTTCACCATGTTGACCAGGCTGGTCTCAAACTCCAGGCCTCAAGTGATCCACCCGCCTCAACCTCCAAAAGTGCTGGGATTACAGGCATGATCCCCCATGCCCAGCTGAATTGGAGGAAATTTTAAAAGTTAATTTTAAAACTGCTTCTCTTTTATGGGAAAGGAATATGTTTTTAAATGGTATTCAGTGTGCTCTTTTTTAAAAAAATCAAAAATTATCCATTAACATCCGTTACTTTTTTTGTTTTTGGTTTTTTTTGAGATTGAGTCTTGCTCTGTTGCCCAGGCTAGAGTGCAGTGGCATGATTTCAGCTCACTGCAACCTCCACCTCCCAGGTTCAAGCGATTCTCCTGCCTCAGCCTCCCAAGTAGCTGGGATTACAGGCGCCTGCCACCACACCCAGCTAATTTTTGTACTTTTAGTAGAGACAGGGTTTCACCATCTTGGCCAGGCTGGTCTCGAACTCCTGACCTCGTGATCCACCTGTCTCGGCCTCCCAAAGTGCTGGGATTCCAGGCGTGAGCCATCACGCCTGGCCTAATAGCCATTACTTTTTAATGCATGGTAATTTTTTGTTCAGTAGATAAATATATTGTTATCTTAAAAAGATTTTTTGTATTTACTTTTGAGACTGGGTCTCAGTCTGTTGCCCAGGCTGGAGTGTAGCAGCCTGATCATGGCTCAGTGCAGCCTCTACCTCCCCGGGCTCAGGTGATCCTCCCCCTTCAGCCTCCTGAGTAGCTGGGACTACAGAGGTGTGGCACCATGCCCGGCTAATTTTTGTATTTTTTGTGGAGATGGGGTTTTGCCATGTTGCCCAGGCTAGTCTTGAACTCCTGGATGTGAGCCACTGCGTCTGGCCTATTATTTTAAATATAGTTCTCTTTACTGCCAGTAGCTTTCATATAACCCTAGCGACTAGATTTAGTCACCACTGCTTAATTCCAAAAAACAAAAGCTCCATCCTATATTTACTGTAAATCAGTCTCTTTGATTGTATTGCATGTTTTATTTCAAGAAAAAAGTTAACCTGAAGATTTAATTTTAAATAACTACACATGTTGTCACTAATAGAAATAACAAATAATTATATGAGAATAATGGTAATTCTCCTAAGTTTTGTGGTAAATTTTTTGGCAATTTTATTGAAGTATAATAAAATTCAACAATTCAATACGTCTTTATAAATGTTCATTGTGATATAGGACAGCTCTATCACAGTACTGGGGTAAATTTTAATTATATTTATTAATTACAGATGTGAATTTCTTCGGAGTAAGAAATCCTCAGAGGAAATTACCCAGTATATTCAAAGCTACAAGGGATTTGTTGACATAACGGTAATGTATAACAGCAATTTTTTTCTCAAGTTTTTGGATTACCTGTAAGTGTCTGACTCAGAAGGGCATAGGCATTCTTTTTATGTCATGGGTTTGATTTCTTTCTTCCTTTCTCCTTTCATTCCCCTGGCTCCCATCTTCAAAGTGAAAAATATCACATTCACTTGCTGACCTAGAGCCTTTTTCTTTTTCCAGGGCTGGCTTCTGACGGGCTCTGCTTGCCTTCCTGATAGTCTTCCCCTTTATGAATGAAGCCACTTGCCCCAGCTTCCCTCTGCTGCCCCTATCTGCAGGCTTGCTAAGATCTCCTGACCTAGGCGCTGTCACCCACAGTGGGCTGCAGAGCTGGCTCTTCCTAGCTGGCTAACTATCCTGAATCAGTAAAAATTTCCTAGTGGAGAGTGATGGGAAATCGAATCCAAACTGGCTTAAACAAAAATGAGAATTTATTGATTAACATGACTCAGGAGACCAGAACTCTATAGAGAACATGGCCTGACAGTGGGGGAAGAGAGGTGTTTCCTCAAAAAGAAACTGGGTGCAGCTTTCCCAGAAGAATCAGTTGCTCAATATATAATACCCTGATGAATTTAGTTACCATTCTATGTCTCTTACTTCCTCATTCGTCAAAGTACATCTGTGATATTTAAATGCAGGTCTGTTTTCAAGGTCAGTTTCCGGAAACAGTGACCCTGAGAAGGCTTCCTCCTGAGTATGCATAAACATTCACAGCTTGCATGCGTGTGTGTGTGTGTGTGTGTGTGTGTGTGTGTGTGTGTGTGTATGTTTGCTTGCACTGCATAAAAACAATTGCAACATCAACAGAAATAAAAATTAAAGGAATAATTCTCCTCCGACTCTGCCGTTCCATCCAGTGAAACTCTTCATTCTGGGGTAAAGTTCCTTCAGTTCTTGTTCATAGATAGGTATATACTTCATAAGTCAAACAATCAGGCTGGGCGCAGTAGCTCATGCCTGTAATCCCAGCCCTTTGGGAGGCCGAGCTGGGCAGATCACTTGAGATCAGGTGTTCGAGACCAGCCTCAAGACCTCCAACATGGGCCGGGTGCAGTGGCTCACGTCTGTAATCCCAGCACTTTGGGAGGCCGAGACGGACGGATGATGAGGTCAGGAGATAGAGACCATCCTGGCTAACATGGTGAAACCCCATCTCTACTAAAAATACAAAAAAAAAAAAAATTAGCCCGGCATGGTGGCAGGCGCCTGTGGTCCCAGCTACTCGGGAGGCTGAGGCAGGAGAATGGCGTGAACCTGGGAGGCGGAGCTTGTAGTGAGCCAAGGTCGTGCCACTGTGCTCCAGCCTGGACGACAGAGCGAGACTCTGTCTCAAAAAAAAAAAAAAAAAAAAAAAAAGACCTCCAACATCGTGTCTGTCTCTACTAAAAATACAAAAAAAAAAAAAAAAATTAGCCGGGTGTGGTGGCACATGCCTGTACTGCTCGGGAGGCTGAGGCAGGAGAATCACTTGAACCCAGGAGGCGGAGGTTGCAGTGAGACGAGAACCTGCCACTGCACTTCAGCCTGGGCAACAGAGTGAGACTCTGCCTCAAACAAAAAAAAAAAAAAAAAAAAAGTCAGATAATCAACAACTTGAATTTTAATTTCCCTCAGGGAGAACATTTTGTGAATTCCTGGGTCCAGAGAGAATTACCTATGGCATCAGGTAAAAACTCAAACATTTTCCAAAGGCTTTGCTTGTTTATTTCTTCTTTTGATTTTTTGTCCCTATCTCTTTTTGTCGTCCCCCCCGCCCCGCCCCGTTTATTTTGAAGCAAACTCTAGACATCATTCCATCTGTAACTGTGAAGGGACAACTTGAACGCTGATACTTGCAATATCAAAGCCTACTGGTCTCTTTAATTTGTGCAGCAGCAATAAAGATATAGAAAAAAAAAAGACTAAAGCCTGCTGGTCTCACCTTGTGCTTTTTATTCAAGCTTATTGCAATGACAGCATCTTTGCTTACGAAGAACTACGGCTGGACTCTTTTAAGGACTGGCCCCGGGAATCAGCTGTGGGAGTTGCAGCACTGGCCAAAGCAGGTCTTTTCTACACAGGTGAGTCAGTAGGTTGTGCCCACTTGCTTGCTTGACCTTTAATTCCCACATAGACTTTATGCTCCTGGGCTTACGTTTAGCTACACTCAGCAATGTCCACTAGCTTCAGCGTTTCTTTTTCTTTTCTTTTTTTTTCCCCCTTGGAGACAGAGTTGCCCAGGCTGGAATGCAGATCTTGGCTCACTGCAACCTCCACCTCCCGGGTTCAAGAGATTCTCCTTCCTCAGCCTCTGGAGTAGCTGGAACCACAGGCGCCTGCCACCACGCCCAGCTACTTTTTTGTATTTTTAGTAGAGACAGGGTTTCACCATGCTAGTCAGAATGCTCTTGATCTCCTGATCTCGTGATCTGCCCGCCTTGGCCTCCCAAATGCTGGGATTACAGGTGTGAGCCATCGCGCCAGGCCTCTCTTCAGCATTTCTTATAGATTCGTTTTCTTTTCTTTCTATTTTTTTTGAGACATGGTCATCCAGGCTGGAGGGCAGTGGCGAGATCATGGCTCACTGCAGCCTCAACCTCCTGGGCTCAAGTAATCCTCCTGCCTTGGCCTCCCAAAATGCTGGGATTACAGGTGTGAGCCACTGCACCTGGCATACATCTCTTTTCTTTCCTGCATCATAAATCCTCTCCCAGTTTTCTATTCCTCCCTTAGGTGGTAAACCTTCAAATTTGAAACCTTAAGGTCTGGACTAACAATGAATACAAATATTCTATTTGTGATAATTATCATGTCTTTTCTTTCTACACATTACTCTCCTCACCTCTTGTCCCCTGACAAAGTGCTCCTAGAAACTGTCACAGGACACTTCTGCTTATATTTCTTTAATCAGAACTTAGTTGGATGGGCCGGGCATGGTGGCTCACGCCTGTAATCCCAGCACTTTGGGAGGCCGAGGTGGGTGGATCACCTGAGGTCAGGAGTTTGAGACCAGCCTGGCCAATATGGTGAAACTCTGTCTCTACTAAAAATACAAAGAATTAGCCAGGCATGGTGGCGGGTGCCTGTAATCCCAGCTACTTGGGAGGCTGAGGCAGGAGAATCGCTTGAACCTGGGACGTGGAGGTTGCGGGGAGTCAAGATCATGCTATTGCACTCCAGCCTGGGCAACAAGAGTGAAACTCTGTCTCAAAAATAATAATAATAATAATAATAATTATTATTATTATTATTAGTCAGATGACCATACCTAGCTGTAAGAGGAGCTGGGAAACCTAATCTTTTTCCTGGGTGACAATGTGCCCAGCTAAATATTGGGATTTCTATTAGTATGGAAGGATTTGAGATAATAGGAACATGGATAGCAATCTTTGCCACATTCTGCCTGCAGGAGAAAATCAGGAAATTAATTTTCATGATTCCTAAACACGTAGAGCCTTCCACCAGATTGTGGCATTTTCTCTTTAGCTGCTGGTCATTAGGAAGCACCTCTGCAATCTATAAATGATGGGCTGGTTCCTGTCAGCTAAATCTCTGCCTGAAATACAAGATGATCAGGGAAAGGTTCCTAGGTACCTTGCTGGTCTTGCTCAAACCGAACACATGCATAAGTTACAGTGGAGGTTAATGCAGATCTTTAACTGAGAGATCAAGTAGTTGTCACAAATACCATAGAGCAACACAGAGAAGCAGAATATAGTTGTCACTCTACCTAACAGACATGTGCCATTGGAAAAAAAAAATCTGACTGCCTCACAATCTTAAGCCTTTGGAAAGAGTGTTTGCCATTTCTCCCTACTCTACTGTGTCTTCCTCTTGTCAGCCTTCCGCAAGACCCCTCTGACCAGTGTGCTCCCCCTCTTCCTTTCCAATCCTCCACCACTCCACACAAATCCTAATCATCTCTGACTGTTTTCAGATCTTGCAAGCTCTAGGATCTCATATTTCTGGGAGGCTTTCCTCTGCCCCAGCTTTCCCAGAGTGGAAGGAAGATGAGAAATGCTCTGTTTCTAGTTTGATCCTTTTGCAGAGCTAAATACCAATTTCTTTCCAAAGAAATATAATTTCACAAAGAGACTTAATCCTATTTCTGGTGTAATAAACATGGCAATAATGTGGTAAGAGGCAATTAATTCTTCATGCATTCACTTACATAAGGGCTGCTAGATTTGCTGGTATTTTTTTTTCCGTGAGCTCTAAATATATTCTTTCTGATTCATTCATTAAACGAATACTAATTGAGTGCCACATGAGTGTCAAGCACTTTTCTAGGTTCATGTCATTCATTAGTGAGCAAAAACCTCTACCCTCATAGAGCTTATTTTTATTTTTATTTTTTGAGACAGAGTTTCACTCTTGTTGCCCAGGCTGGAGTGCAATGGCGTTATCTTGGTTCACTGCAACCTCCGTCTCCTGGGTTCAAGCGATTCTTGTGCCTCAGCCTCCTGAGTAGCTGGCATTACAGGCATGTGCCACCATGCCCAGCTAATTTTTGTATTTTTAGTAGAGACAGGGTTTCACCGTGTTGGCCAGGCTGGTCTCAGACTCCTGACCTCAGGAGATCCGCTGGCCTTGGCCTCCCAAAGTGCTGGGATTACAGGCATGAGCCACTGCGCCCAGCCCCCTCATGGAGCTTCAATTCCAGATTCTGGTTGCCAATCTGTTTGTTGATCAAAGGAGAATGGGGCAGAGGGATGGTGTGCATCAAAGTGCATGGTGTGTAGGAGCATTCAATGACTACTTGCCAGTTACCCCATTGGTGGACAGAGTCTTATATAGAAAATTGCCTCACTGGTAACCAACTTCTGACTGTCACAAAACCCAACTGGAGACTGAATAGGCTTTCACTATTACAGGTCTGGTGGTTATTATCTGCATGTTAATGGACAGATGCCCATGCCAGTGGCACTGATCAAGTTTCCTTACTTTTAGGTATAAAGGACATCGTCCAGTGCTTTTCCTGTGGAGGGTGTTTAGAGAAATGGCAGGAAGGTGATGACCCATTAGACGATCACACCAGATGTTTTCCCAAGTGAGTGGAATGAATGTTAACCATCTGCAACTTTGGATGCACTTCAACAGTTTTTTTCTTTTTCCTCATTTCCTGCCTTATTTTATCTTTAGATTGAGTCTTTATCCACTCCTCGGATTCAGGCTATGAAGGATGAGTCTTCATGTCTTTCATCCCTTTGCTCCATGACCCCCTTCCTGTACTAGCCTTCCCCTCTTTATAGTTATGGCATAGTTTTGGCTAGATTCATATATTCACATTACATGTTTACATTATCATGACTATACAAATGCTATGTGGAGCTGAAGCTTGTGGTAAATTTTTATTTATTTTTCCCTTCCTGTATATCCTTTTATTTTTTTAGGAAGTAATAACTGTCCTGTTGGTATGTTAGCTTATTTTTTTTTCCTGAGGTAAAATTCAGGTAGTAACCATTTTATTTATTTATTTATTATTTTTTGTGACAGGTTCTCTCTCTTGCCCAGGTTGGAGTGCAGTGGTGCAATCATGGCTCACTGCAGCCTTGACCTCTCTGGCTCAAGCAATCTTCCTCGCTCAGCCTCCCAAGTAGCTGGGACTACAGGCACATGTCTTCACACCCAGCTAATTTTTTTTTTTTTTTTTTAAGAGACAGGGTCTCTCTATGTTGCCCAGGCTGCTCTCAGACTTCTAGGCTCAAGCAGTCTTCCCATCCTGGCTTCCCAAAGTGCTGGGATTATAGGCGTGAGCCACCATGCACAGCAATTAAACCATTTTAGAGTACACAATTCTGTGGCATTTATTATAGTACATTCACAATGTTGTGCAACCACCCCCTCTATCTAGTTCCAAAACACTTTCATCGCCCCCAAAGAAAACTCTGTATCCATCAAGCAGGCCCCCCTCCTCTCTCCACCCCACTCCATGCCCAGCCCCTGGGATACACCAACCTAATTGGTGTCTATGGATTTATTTGTTCTGACTATTTCCTCTAAATGGAAGCATACCGTTTGACCTTTTGCATTTGGATTCTTTCACTTGGCATATTGTTTTGAAGTTTATCCATGTTGTAGCTTGCATAAGTACTTCCTTCCTTTTGAGACCAAGTAATATTCCATATGGATACACTGCATTTTATTTATCCATTCATCTATTTGTAGATATTTGGGTTGTTTCTACCTTTTGGCTACCATGAGTAATACCGATAGGAACATTTGGGTACAGGTATCTGATGGAGCATGTAACTGTATTCAAGTCTCTGGGGCATATACCTAACAACGATATTGCTAGCTGTATAGTAATTCTATGTTTTTACTTTTTTTTTTTTTTTCTCACACAGAGTCTCACTCTGTCGCTCAGGCTGGAGTGCAGCGGTGCGATCTCAGCTCACTGCAACCTCCGCCTCCCAGGTTCAAGCAATTTTCCTGCCTCAGTCTCCTGAGTAGCTGGGATTACAGGTGTCTGCCACCATGCCCGGCTAATTTTTTGTATTTTTAGGGTTTCACCATGTTGGCTAGGCTGGTCTCAAACTCCTGACCTCAAGTGATCCACCTGGCTTGGCCTCCCAAAGTGCTGGAATTACAAGCGTGAGCCACAGCGCCTGGCCTGTTTTAACTTTTTGAGGAAATGCTAAACTGTTTTTTCCACAGTGCTTGCACCATTTTAAATTCCCACCAACAACAATGTTGTGCAACCACCCCCTCTATCTAGTTCCAAAACACTTTCATCGCCCCCAAAGAAAACTCTGTATCCACTAAGCAGGCCCTCCTTCTCTCTCCACCCCACTCCATGCCCAGCCCCTGGGATACACCAACCTAATTGGTGTCTATGGATTTATTTGTTCTGACTATTTCCTCTAAATGGAAGCATACAGTTTGACCAACAATGTATGAGGTTTCCCATTTCTCATCAACACTTTTCTATTTTTAAAAAAATTATAGCCATCTGCTTAATTTTTTTTTTTTTTTTTTTTTTTTTTTTGAGATGGAGTCTCACTTTGTCGCCCAGGCTGGAGTGCAATGGCGTGATCTCACTCACTGCAACCTCCGCCTCCTGGGTTCATGCCATTCTCCTGCCTCAGCCTCCCGAGTAGCTGGGACTACAGGCACCTGCCATCACGCCCGGCTAATTTATTTTTTATTTATTTTTTTAGTAGAGACGGGGTTTCACCGTGTTAGCCAGGATGGTCTCCATCTCCTGACCTTGTGATCCACCCGCCTCAGCCTCCCAAAGTGCTCTGATTACAGGCGTGAGCCACCGCGCCCGGCCAGCCATCTGCTTAATTTTTATGTACATTGCTTATTTTTGTTTCTTGAGATAAAATTCATGTATTAATAATTTTATTTATTTAAATGAAATAAATGAAGACGAACACCAGCTCATCTTCAACTTATCCCAAATGTTTAAATCTCCTCTTAAGTCATTCAGACCTACCAGATATCTCATCATTTTCATTTCTTGAAAGAGTCATCATTTTTTTTTTCTTTTTCTTTTTTTTTTTGAGACGGAGTCTGGCTCTGTCACCCAGGCTGGAGTGCAGTGGCATGATCTCGGCTCACTGCAGACTCTGCCTCCCAGGTTCAAGCAATTCTTCCTGCCTCAGCATCCCAAGTAGCTGGGACTACAGGCATGCACCACTATGCCTGGCTAATTTTTGTATTTTTAATAGAGATGGAGTTTTGCCACGTTGGCCAGGCTAGTTTCAAACTCCTGACCTCAAGTGATCCGCCTGCCTCAGCCTCCCAAAGTGCTGGTATTACAGGCGTGAGCCACTGCGGCTGGTCCATTTTCATCTTGAAATGAGTTTCCCTGGAAGTCTTCTGGCCTGCTGGATTATGAACAACTTGTCCTATAATCATCCTGGGATCCAGGGATCTTTCTTCACAGGCATCCTGGAGATTATCTCCTCTGTTGTATCTCCTGGATCTAATGTCATCCTCTTCTTGGTTCACTCGCTCATTTTGTTGGAACACTTCATCGGAGTTCCCTGGGAAAGACTGCATAAGAAATACACACTTTTAGTTGCATATAATGCATATACAGACATATAGATCTATCTAGATATATGTTTTTCCTGTATTCTCACACTTATTTGATAGTTTAGCTAGGTGTAGAATTATAGGTTGGAAGTCATTTTAATTCTAAATTGTAGAGGCACTGCTACATTTCTACTGGTTCCTAATGTGCTGTCGAGAAGTTCCATGCCTTTCTGCTTGTCAATCCTTTTACTGCAAACAAAATTTTTTTTTTTCCTGTGCTGGAAGCTTTCAGAAAAATATCTGTTCTAAAATTTTATGAAGAAATATTTCTTTTCTATGAATCTTTAAACTTAATTTTTTTTTACCCATCAAACTCTTTAGAAATGTTTAATTGCAAGAAGAAATTTGTGTTTTCACTATGTAATTAGTAAGAGTTTTTTTTTTAGAAATGAATATGAACACATACAGATTTTAAAATGAATGCTTCCTGCTCATTTGTATAGTGGTAAAAACAAAAATAAAACAAAATGAATACTTCTATCTAATTTTATTGCCTTGAAGGTATTTTGATAGCAGTAGTTACCTCATTTTTCTTTCTTATTTGGGCTTAGTGTATAATAAATTATTGAGAACAATGGGGACATTCTACTTAATTCTTGGAAGGATAAGCTAGGATGCAGTCTAGTCTTATTTAGAACTTACTCTGGAATCGATCAACTCCCTTTTATACTATTATTATTATTATTAGTTTTAGTGTTTTGTTGTTGTTGTTTTTGAGATGGAGTCTCACTCTGTCACCCAGGCTGGAGTGCAGTGGCGTGATCTCGGCTCACTGCAACCTCCGCCTCCCGGGTTCAAGCGATTCTCCTGCCTCAGCTTCCCAAGTAGCTGGGATTACAGGTACCTCCCCACCATGCCTGGCTAATTTTTTGTACTTTTAGTAGAGACGGGGTTTCACCATGTTGGCCAGGCTGGTCTTGAACTCCTGACCTCAAGTGATCCTCCTGCCTCAGCCTCCCAAAGTGCTGGGATTACAGGTGTGAGCCGCCACACCTGGCCTTTAGTGTTTTTTTGTTAAGAGACTGGGTCTCGGCTCTGTCACCCAGGCTGGAGCAAGTGCAGTGGTACAATCCTAGCTGACTGTAGCCTCAAATTCCTGGGCTCAAGTGATCCTCCCACCTCAGCCTCCCAAGTAGCTAGGACTACAAGCATGTGTCACCATGCCCGACTAATTTTTTAAAGTTTTTTTTTGTAGAGATGGGGTCTTGCTTTGTTGCCCAGGCTGGTCTCAAACTCCTGGCTCCAAATGATCCTTCTGCTTCAGCCTCCCAAAGTACTTGGATTACAGGCATGAGCCACTGCTCCCAGCCAACTCCTTTTTGGATTTTTACTCTTCCTTTGCCTCTTAAAAAAACTGCAAACCAGTATGTCTCCAAATGATTACCTAAAATTTTTATGTATGCTTTAAAGAATGAATAAAAAGCAACCTATGAACCTCCTAGTAAAGTCAAGAAATTGGACATTATCAATGCCTTAAAAGACCCCTGCGGCCGGGTGCAGTGACTCACGCCTGTAATCTCAGCACTTTGGGAGGCCGATGTGGGCAGATTGTCTGAGCTCAAGAGTTCGAGACCAGCCTGGGCAACATGGTGAAACCCCATCTCTGTTAAAAAACAGAAAAATTTAACCGGGCCTGGTGACACACGCCTGTAGTCCCAGCTATTAGGGAGGCTGAGGCAGGAGAATGGCTTGAACCTGGGAGGCGGAAGTTGCAGTGAGCCAAGATGGCGCCATTGCACTCCTGGGCGACAGAGCGTGACTCTGTCTCAAAAAAAAAAAATCAAAAAACAAAAAACAACTCTGCATGCCAACCACCCCCTAATTCTGATTATATCCCTGTCCCTCCAATCCAGAGGTAAATGTGATGCTCAGTTTGGGTTAATTATTCCCTTGCTTCTCTTTGTGGTTTTACCAACTACATATACATCCTTAAACATATTTAGCTTTGTCTATTCTTGAAGTTCAAATAAGAAGCATACTGCATGATTCTTCTTGTAATTGGCTGGTTTTACTCCACGATGTTTTTGAGATTCATCCATATTTATATGTACTACACAGTTGTAGTTCACTTGTTTTCATTGGTAAATAGTGTATTATTTTATGAATATATAATAACTTATTTTACTGTTGATTAACCTCGTGGGTCGTTTTCAGAGTGTTGCAAATTCAAATAATGCCCTATGAACATTCTTGTACATATTTTCCAGTGCTCATGTGTGTTTCTCTAGGATACATAACAAAGTAAAGAATTGCAGAGTCATAGAACTTTGCGGGTGTTCAACTCCACTAGATAATGCAAAGCTTTTTCCCAAGTGGTTGCACTGATTTACATTCCCATTGGCCTAGATGCGTTTCTATTGATTTGCTTCCTCACTAACTTGGTATTGCCCAAATTTTAATTTTTGTCAGTGTAATTACTAATAATGTTAAGCTTATTTTCTTCTTCTTTTTTTCTTTCTTTTTTTTTTTTTGAGACGGGAGTTTCACTCTTGTTGCCCAGGCTGGAGTGCAATGGCACGATCTCGGCTCACCACAACCTCCGCCTCCCAGGTTCAAGTGATTCTCCTGCCTCAGCCTCCCGAGTAGCTGGGATTACAGGCATGTGCCACCACGCCCAGCTAATTTTGTATTTTTAGTAGAGATGGGGTTTCTCCATGTTGGTCAGGCTGGTCTCGGACTCCCAACCTCAGGTGATCCACCCACCTCAGCCTCCCAAAGTGCTGGGATTACAGGTGTGAGCCACCGCGCCTGGCAGTTGAGCTTATTTTCATATTTTCCTGCAGAATAGTCTTGTTCTTTCTCTTCAAGAGTGTGTCTTAGCTATTTTTTTGCCCTTTGGTCTTTCATATTCCAGAGAATATATTAAATATCCCAAGCAGGCATGGTGGTTCACACCTATAATCCCAGCACTTTGGGAGGCTGAGGTGGGAGGAGTGCACAAGGCGAGGAGTTTGAGACTAGCCTTTGCAACATAGCTAGACTCCATTTCTACAAAAAATTTTTAAAACAAACAGGGTGTGGTAGCATGCATCTGTAGTCCCAGCTACCTGGGAGGCAGAGGCAGGAGAATCGCTTGAGCTCAGGAGTATAGGTTGCAATGAGCTATGATTGTGCCACTGTACTGTGGCCTGGGTGACAGAGTAAAACTTTGTCTCTAAAAAACAGAAATATCCCTCTTTATCCTTGATAGTATTTTTTAGGCCTTTATTAGTTTTTTCATGTTACATCTTTTAGATTATTTTCTTTTTAATCTATCTGTGACTATATTTAAAGTCAATTCTTGTTTTTTCCTTTTCCTTTTTGTGGGTAACGGGGTCTCACTATGTTGCCCAGGCAGATCTCAAACTCCTGGGCTCAAGCTGTCCTCCCACCTCTGCCACCCTAAGTGTTGAGATTACAGGCATGAGCCACTGCACCCAGCCTTAAAGTGAATTGTTATAGGCAACAACACAGTGGGGTCTTTTATTTTATTTTTTATTTGTTTATGAGACAGACTCGCTCTGTTGCCTACGCTGGAGTGCAGTGGTGCAGTCTTGACTCACTGCAGCCTGGACTTCCCAGGCTCAAGCAATCCTCCCACCTCAGACTCCTGAGTAGCTGGGACTACAGGCACATGCCACCAAGCCTGGCTAAGTTTGTTAGTTTTTTATAGAGACAAGGTCTCACTATGTTGCCCAGTCTGATCTCGAACACCTAGCCACAAGCAATTCTCCTGCCTTGTCTTCCCAGAGTGCTGGGATTACAGGTGTGGACCACTGAACCCAGCAGGTCTTGCTTTTTTTTTGAGATGGAGGTGTGAGCCACCACATCCAGCCAGGTTTTCTCTTTTTTTTTTTTTTTGAGACGGAGTCTTGCTCTGTCGCCCAGGCTGGAGTGCAGTGGCACGATCTTGGCTCACTGCAAGCTCCGCCTCCTGGGTTCACACCATTCTCCTGCCTCAGCCTCGCGAGTAGCTGGGACTACAGGCACCCCGCCACCACACCTGGCTAATTTTTTGTATTTTTAGTAGAGACGGGGTTTCACCGTGTTAGCCAGGATGGTCTCGATCTCCTGACCTCATGATCCACCTGCCTTGGCCTCCCAAAGTGCTGGGATTACAGGCGTAAGCCACCACGCCTGGCCAGGTCTTGCTTTTTAAGAGTCTGACAATAACTGCTTTCTAATTGGAATGTTTAGAACGTTTAAATTTAATGCAATTATGAATATGGTTGGATTTAAACCTATTTTACCATTTGCTTTCTATTTATTTCATCACTTCTTTGTTTCTTTTTCTTTTCCTGACTTCCTAGGGTTTAGGGTTTTTTTTTTTTTCTTTTTTCTACCCCCTCCTTGAGTATTTTTTTTTGTACTCCATTTTATTTCTGTCAGCTTATTAGCTATTAATCCTTATTTTACCTTTTTACTACTTGCTCTAGAGTTTACCATATGCCTATTTAACATATCATAGTAATCTTCAAAAATATTATAACAGCTGGGTGCAGTGGCTCATGCCTGTAATCCCGGTAATTTGGGAGGCTGAGGCAGGCAGATCACTTGAGGTCAAGAGTTCCAGAGCAACCTGGGCAACATGGTGAAACCCCGTCTCTACTAAAAATACAAAAAAATTAGCTGGGTGTGGTGGCACACACCTGTAATCCCAGCTGCTTGGGAGGCTGAGGCACGAGAATTGCTTGAACCCAGGAAGCAGACGCTGCAGAAAGCTGAGATCGTGCCACTGCACTCCAGCCTGGGTGACACAGTGAGACTCTGGGTCAAAAAAATATATAACACTTGACATAAAATGTATGAACCATACAATAGTATATTTCCATTTCTCCCCTCTCATCCTTTGTGCTATTGTCATACATTTTATTTCCATGTACTTTAATAAATCTTACAATATAATGTTATATCTTTGCTTTAAACAATTTAAGTACATTTTTACAACGGCAAAAGTCTTTCATATTTGCCCTCTTAGTTATCTTATCATTCCTGGTACTTTTCATTCCTTTGAGTAGAACCAAATTTCCATCTGCTATCATTTTCCTTTTAAATGATGTGCTTCCTTTCACTTTTTTTTTTTTTTTTTTTTTTTGAGATGGAGTCTTGCTCTGTCTCCTAGGCTGGAGTTCAGCGCCACGATCTCGGCTGACTGCAACCTCTGCCTCCCGGGTTCAAGTGATTCTCCTGCCTCAACCTCCTGAGTAGCTAGGATTACAGGTGCCCACCACCATGCCAGGCTAATTTTTGTATTTTTAGTAGAGATAGAGTTTCACCATGTTGGCCAGGCTGGTCTTGAACTCCTGACCTCATGATCTGCCTGCCTCAGCCTCCCAAAGTGCTGGGATTACAGGGGTGAACCACTGTGCCTGGTCCCTTTCACATTTTTTGTAGTGCAGTTATGCTGGCAACTGACTTTATTTGGCATTTGTTTGTATGAATAAGTTTATATTTTACCTTCCTTCATAGTTCTTTTCCTTGATGGGCCTATTAAAATATTTTTTTTCTTTTGTAAGCCACTTCACCCCTTCCCTATGGGTTTGTTTTTATTTACCTCTACATGGCTGACTTTGGACAGAAACGTTAAAAGTTCTACTTGTTGTTTTCCTGAAGCTATGCTTCTATTTCTGGACTCATCGCCAAGTCACCTGAAGGCAATACAAATGAAGTATCTGGGCCACATGCAGTGGCTCACGCCTGTAATCCCAGCACTTTGGGAAACTGAGGTGGGAGGATACCTTGAGCCCAGAAAAAAAAAAAATTAGCCTGGCATGGTGGCACGTGCCTGTAGTCCCAGTTACTTGGGAGGCTGAGGTGGGAGGATCACTTGAGCCTGGGAGTTGGAGGCTACATTGATCCTTGGTCGTGTCACTACCCTCAAGCCTGGACAAAAGAGTGAGACCTTGTCTCAAAAAAAAAAAAAAAAAAAAAGTGTCCCTTTGCTTTACTCCTGCTCTCCAGTGATTCTACAGCATGGAATAGGCCACTGACTTACTCACATGTATAGTTCTCATCTGTCCATTTTAATAATTGCAACTAGAGCTCTTTTTGAACTTTCTCTCTTGTTCTTCAAGCATACATCAAACCTGAGTTTAGAGGGTATTTGCGTCCTAGTTTCACGAGATTGGCAAGTAGTTTTTAGAGAGTATGTTTGTGGCCATTCTTTTCTTTTGATACTGACGGAGGGTTTCTTTTTTAATTTTTTGTTTGTTTAAGACAGGGTCTTACTCTGTCACCCAGGCTGGAGTGCAGTGATGCAATCACGGCTCACTGTAGCCCCAACCTCCTGGCCTCAAGTGATCTTCTTGCCTCAGCACCCCCAAGTAGCTGGGACTATACATGCATGCCACCCTGCTAGCTAATTTTTAGAGGAGGTCTCTCTATGTTGCACAGGTTGGTCTGGTCTTGAACTTCTGACCTCAAGTGAAACTCCTACTTTGGCTTCCCAAAGTGCTGGGATTACAGGCATGAGCCATTGCACCTGGCAATGGAGTGGTTTGTGGTTGGTTAGTTTTTTGTTTGTTTGTTTGTTTGTTTTTGAGACAGAGTTTCACTCCTGTTGCCCAGGCTAGAGTGCAATGGTGCGATCTCGGCTTACTTCAACTTCTGCCTCTTGGGTTCAAGCAATTCTCCTGCCTCAGCCTCCCAAGTCGCTGGGATTACAGGCGTCCGCCACAACGCCCGGCTAATTTTTGTATTTTTAGTAGAGGTGAGGTTTCACCATGTTGGTCAGGTTGGTCTCAAACTCCTGACCTCAAGTGATCCACCCGCCTCAGCCTCCCGAACTGCTGGGATTACAGGCGTGAGCCACCATGCCTGGCCTTGTTTGTTTTTTGTTTTGTTTTGAGACAGAGTCTCACTCCATTGCCCAGACTAGAGTGCAGTGGCACAATCTCAGCTCACTGCAACCTCCGCCTCCCAGGTTCAAGCGATTCTTGTGCCCCAGCCTCCTAAGTAGCTAGGACTACAGGTGTGCGCCACCACTGCCTGGTTAATTTTGGAATTTTCTTTTTAATAGAGACAGGGTTTTGCCATGTTGGCCAGGCTGGTCTCAAACTTCTGGCCTCAAGTGATCTGCCCGCCTCGGCCTCCCAAAGTGCTGGGATTTTGGGTGTGAACCACCGCACTCACAGAGTTTTTTTCTTTTTTTAATAAATTTTTATTTGAAATTATTTAGATTTGCAGAAAGTGCAAAGTAATACAAAGAGTTCCTATATATTGCCATACCCAATTTACCCTAATGCTAACATCTTACACTAGCATATTTGTCAAAATCATCAGTGTACCAATTCATATACTGTACATTACTATTTACTAAAATCCAGAGTTTATTTGGATTTCACCAGTTTTTCCACTATGTTGTTTTTTGTTCCAGAATTCATAAATAGAGGGTTTTTTTTTTCCTATTTTTGATTCTTTAAGTTCATTTTTGTTGGTTGCATGGAGGAGTGTCATATACGCACTCATTCCACCAAATTCCCTTGATATCCTTTACCGTTACTTTATAAACCATTTACATTTCTCTTGCAGAGAGCCACAACCTAAGTGCCTTACCTGATGACACTGACAGAGAGAATCACTGGAAATGATAGTTTTATACTTAATTCTTGTCACTAAAACTCTAATAGTGTTTTTAAAAACCTAATACAAGGCCAGGCCTGGCGGCTCACACCTATCATCCCAGCACTTTGGGATGCCTAGGGAGGAGAATTGCTCAAGGCCAGAAGTTTGAAACCAGAACAGCCTGGGCAACATAGTGAGACCCTGTCTCTGAAAAAACAAAACAAACAACAACAGCAACAACAACAACAAAAATACCTAACACAAATACTTAAATGCATACAACTATTTTTATAACTTTTAACTTTTACACTTAGTTGTCCATTTCTCCAAAATATGAAGTCCTCTGCGGAAGTGACTCCAGACCTTCAGAGCCGTGGTGAACTTTGTGAATTACTGGTAATGAACACCGTCATCTTGTCTGTTTTACCAGCACATGATCATATAATTGAAAACTGTTTTGAACAGGAATGTCTCATCATAAATAAGTTAATAAATTCTACAAACATCTACTAAACATCTGTTATGTTCTAGGTACAGATTGGGGAAATCACAATAAACCAGTCGGGCACAATACCTAGCTTCATGAAATGTATAGTCAATCTCTTCTACTTCAAGGCCCAGACTCTCTTAGACTTTGTTGATTAGCATCCAGGCTAAATGGATCCTCTCTGGATCTTCATGTGGAGGGCAATAAGGCTGGATTTGCTACTTGGCCTTTTTAGGGGTTGAGAAGATGTTACTTTAACAAAAGCAAGTGCCCAACAAAATCATAAACCCAGGTAATAGGCTGACCACTTTAAGCTGAGAAATCCTACCTAGTTCTCTGGGATATAAGCCACTACTAATTTAATGCACACATATACCACCTTATTTTGAGGCTGTGTGTTAGGTATGTTATGTTTGTCATCCCCCCACCCCCAACACACACAAAAACCAACTTGCTATTCACGTGATTCATTTTCTATATGAATTGAAAAATGGCACTAAAGAAAAAAGTTTGGGGATATAGAAATAGCTTATTTTTTAAGGAAGAAACATAACCTTTCTAAGTACTGGATGTGTAATATTAAAAATGTAGTTAACCAAGGACAGAGGCTGCACCTAATGACTTTTGGAGGAACCTTCTTGCTCAAGACACTATGATTCTCGTTACCTGGATAGTATCACCCATGGATTGTATCATATATGAACCACTGAGGAACACACATTCCTGCAGATGTTTGCAGATTATTAATTGCTTTATATTTGGAGCACCCCTCCCTTCAATCAGCATAAATATTTGAGGGTGGGCTGTGTTTAGAAGATGTTTAGTCTCCAATGATTACAACATGATGCACCACTCTCCTATACAAATTTTGATTTAAGAAAAGATTTTATTTTTCAAAGGAAACCACAAGTGAAAGCAATCTTGAAGATTCAATAGCAGTTGGTCCTATAGTGCCAGGTAAGAACTTTGAAGTAGCACGTGGGATTATATGTATTTGTAAATATATTTGTATACAGGGCAGTTGCAAAAAAAAGAGTATTTATAATTGTCCAAAGAGCTTCCAAAGAGGAGCAGCATTGCAACAGTGTCGTGTATGAGCAAAAGTCAAGATTCTTGTGGCTTCTCCAGAGTGCAGGCAGGACCAAACTGATAGTAGGCAACGTGTCTCAGGTACAAGCAAACCAGTCCTTAGAAGCACCAATCAGTAAACTTCTTTCCTGAGATTTTTATTTTTATTCATTTTATTTTATTTTATTTTATTTGAGACAGGGTCTTACTTTGTCACCCAGGCTGGAATGCAATGGCAAGATCATGGCTCACCGCAGCGTCGACCTCCCAGGCTCAAGTGATCCTCCCATCTCAGCCTCCCCAGTAGCTGGGACCACAAGCATGTGCCACCACACCTGGCTAATTTTTGTATTTTTTGTAGAGACAGGGTTTTGCCATGTTGGCCAGGCTGGTCTTGAACTCCTAGGCTCAAGCAATTCGCCTGCCTCGGTCTCCCACAGTGCTGGGATTACAGGCATGAGTCACTTTGCCTGGCCTCTTTCCTGAGATGCATGGTGCTTATGATAAGCACACATTATGTCTAGGTCCCTGCTTCAAGTGTGGCACTTTGGACACATGCTTCCCACATTCCGATTTTGTGCCAAAACCTATGAGATGATCGCAATGTGGGAATCATGGATGGCTGTGGAAAATCCTAACACATTCGTAGTAGACAGGCAGAATCATGGAATGAAAAGGCATGGCGTTCAGACTGAGGGAGATGTGACTATGAATCCCTGTTGTGCCCCCCTTTCTTTCTCTCCACAGAAATGGCACAGGGTGAAGCCCAGTGGTTTCAAGAGGCAAAGAATCTGAATGAGCAGCTGAGAGCAGCTTATACCAGCGCCAGTTTCCGCCACATGTCTTTGCTTGATATCTCTTCCGATCTGGCCACGGACCACTTGCTGGGCTGTGATTGTCTATTGCTTCAAAACACATCAGCAAACCTGTGCAAGAACCTCTGGTGCTGCCTGAGGTCTTTGGCAACTTGAACTCTGTCATGTGTGTGGAGGGTGAAGCTGGAAGTGGAAAGACGGTCCTCCTGAAGAAAATAGCTTTTCTGTGGGCATCTGGATGCTGTCCCCTGTTAAACAGGTTCCAGCTGGTTTTCTACCTCTCCCTTAGTTCCACCAGACCAGACGAGGGGCTGGCCAGTATCATCTGTGACCAGCTCCTAGAGAAAGAAGGATCTGTTACTGAAATGTGCATGAGGAACATTATCCAGCAGTTAAAGAATCAGGTCTTATTCCTTTTAGATGACTACAAAGAAATATGTTCAATCCCTCAAGTCATAGGAAAACTGATTCAAAAAAACCACTTATCCCGGACCTGCCTATTGATTGCTGTCCGTACAAACAGGGCCAGGGACATCCGCCGATACCTAGAGACCATTCTAGAGATCAAAGCATTTCCCTTTTATAATACTGTCTGTATATTACGGAAGCTCTTTTCACATAATATGACTCGTCTGCGAAAGTTTATGGTTTACTTTGGAAAGAACCAAAGTTTGCAGAAGATACAGAAAACTCCTCTCTTTGTGGCGGCGATCTGTGCTCATTGGTTTCAGTATCCTTTTGACCCATCCTTTGATGATGTGGCTGTTTTCAAGTCCTATATGGAACGCCTTTCCTTAAGGAACAAAGCGACAGCTGAAATTCTCAAAGCAACTGTGTCCTCCTGTGGTGAGCTGGCCTTGAAAGGGTTTTTTTCATGTTGCTTTGAGTTTAATGATGATGATCTCGCAGAAGCAGGGGTTGATGAAGATGAAGATCTAACCATGTGCTTGATGAGCAAATTTACAGCCCAGAGACTAAGACCATTCTACCGGTTTTTAAGTCCTGCCTTCCAAGAATTTCTTGCGGGGATGAGGCTGATTGAACTCCTGGATTCAGATAGGCAGGAACATCAAGATTTGGGACTGTATCATTTGAAACAAATCAACTCACCCATGATGACTGTAAGCGCCTACAACAATTTTTTGAACTATGTCTCCAGCCTCCCTTCAACAAAAGCAGGGCCCAAAATTGTGTCTCATTTGCTCCATTTAGTGGATAACAAAGAGTCATTGGAGAATATATCTGAAAATGATGACTACTTAAAGCACCAGCCAGAAATTTCACTGCAGATGCAGTTACTTAGGGGATTGTGGCAAATTTGTCCACAAGCTTACTTTTCAATGGTTTCAGAACATTTACTGGTTCTTGCCCTGAAAACTGCTTATCAAAGCAACACTGTTGCTGCGTGTTCTCCATTTGTTTTGCAATTCCTTCAAGGGAGAACACTGACTTTGGGTGCGCTTAACTTACAGTACTTTTTCGACCACCCAGAAAGCTTGTCATTGTTGAGGAGCATCCACTTCTCAATACGAGGAAATAAGACATCACCCAGAGCACATTTTTCAGTTCTGGAAACATGTTTTGACAAATCACAGGTGCCAACTATAGATCAGGACTATGCTTCTGCCTTTGAACCTATGAATGAATGGGAGCGAAATTTAGCTGAAAAAGAGGATAATGTAAAGAGCTATATGGATATGCAGCGCAGGGCATCACCAGACCTTAGTACTGGCTATTGGAAACTTTCTCCAAAGCAGTACAAGATTCCCTGTCTAGAAGTCGATGTGAATGATATTGATGTTGTAGGCCAGGATATGCTTGAGATTCTAATGACAGTTTTCTCAGCTTCACAGCGCATCGAACTCCATTTAAACCACAGCAGAGGCTTTATAGAAAGCATCCGCCCAGCTCTTGAGCTGTCTAAGGCCTCTGTCACCAAGTGCTCCATAAGCAAGTTGGAACTCAGCGCAGCCGAACAGGAACTGCTTCTCACCCTGCCTTCCCTGGAATCTCTTGAAGTCTCAGGGACAATCCAGTCACAAGGTATACCTGTATATATTTTGGATGACTATTCTGATGTATAATTTCTTTTTCTTACTTTAAGTGGTTGAAAACTTCTGAGGCCATGAAAGCATGCATGCTCATTGATAGAACAGATATAAAATAAACCTTCACTAATTTTTTTTGACAGTAGCATGAATTAGTGAAAAGTCCTTGAATAATAGAATGGTTTTCAAATAACTCAGACAAAATGAATAAAATATTTATATTAAATTATTGAAGGTTCTTAATAAAGACATGAATTATCTGTTATTAGTAAAAGAATTAGCTATATGTAAGATGATGCTTAGAAATTACCTTCACCCTAGCTGCCTAAAGGAAGAAAGGCCTGTAGTCCCTGGGAAATAAATAAATTAATGGGAAATAATATCTTCATCTATTTGTGTCTTAACTCCTCTAAGCACTATTTGATAGTTTTCAGTGTAGACTTAACCCATCTTTCATTAAATTTATTCCTAGATACTCATATCTTTTGAAAGTATTGTAAATGTCATTAAAAATATTTTTTCATTTTCTAATTGTTGCTAGTATTGCTTTGGTCTTAAGCAGTTTGACTGTTATATGCCTAGGTGTGCTTTGCTTTGTATGTATCTTGCTTGAGGTGCACTGAACTTTTTTGGAATGTGTGGGTTGACATTTACCAAATTTAGAAAATTTTTCATCTTTTTTCAAGTACTGTTTTATTATGGTAAAATACATGTAACAAAGCTTACATTTTAATCATTTTAAATGTACAACTCAGTGGCATTAAGCATTCACTATGTTGTACAACCATCACCGCTATCCATCTCCAGAACCTTTTCATCATCCCAATTAAACAATAAATTGGGCCGGGCGCGGGGGCTCACGCCTGTAATCCCAGCACTTTGGGAGGCCGAAGAGGGTGGATCGCCAGAGCTCAGGAGTTTGAGACCACCCTGGGCAACATGGTGAAACCACGTCTCTACTAAAATACAAAAAATTAGCTGGGCGTGGTGGCATGCGCCTGTAGTCCCAGCTATTCGGGAGGCTGAGGCATGAGAATCACTTAAGCCTGGGAGGCAGAGGTTGCAGTGAGCCCAGATCATGCCACTGCACTCCAGCTTGGGCTACCGAGTGAGACTCCGTCTCAAAAAAAAAAAAAAAAAAAAAAAAAAAAAAAATCTTCCCTCCCACCAGCCCCTGATAACTTCTCTTCTATTTTCTGTCTCTATGAATTTGCCTCTTCTAGATATTGTTTATAAGCATTATCACTTGTCTGGCTTATTTCACTTTGCATACTGTTCAAGGTACATCATGTTGTAGCCTATATTGGAATTTCATTCCTTCACATGTACTCCATAAATATGTACAATTATTATGTATCAACTTTGAAAAGGAACTTCATCCTTTTTATAGCTAATATTCCATGGTATGTATATAGTACATTTTGTTTATCCATTCTGCTGCTGAGAGACACTTGGGTTGTTTCTACCTTCTGGCTATCATAAATAATGCTGCAATGAACACTGGCATTATAAGTATCGGTTTAAGTTCTTGCTTTTAATCATTTTGGGTATATACCTAGAAGCAGAATTGCTGATTCATATGGTAGTTCTATGTTTAACTTTTTGAGGAACTTGCACAGTAGCTGCACCATCTTACATTCCCACTATCCATGTACAAAGGTTCCAATTACTCCACATCCTCTTCAGCACTTGTTAATTTTTGTTTTTGTGGAGACAGAGTCTAATTCTGTCACCCAGGCTGGAGTGCAGTGGCGAGATCTTGGCTCACTGCAACCTCCACCTCTCGGGTTCAAGCAATTCTCCTGTCTCAGCCTCCTGAGTAGCTGGGACTACAGGTGTGCACCACCATACCTGGCTAACTTTTGTATTTTTAGTAGAGATGGGGTTTCGCCATGTTGCCCAAGCCGGTCTCGAACTCCTGAGCTCAGGCAGTCCAGCCACCTTGGCCTCCCGAAGTGCTAGGATTACAGGCATGAGCCACAGTGCCCGACCTGTTTTTGTTTTCATTGTTGTTTTTCAGACAGTGTCTCGCTCTATTGCCCAAGCTGGAGTGCTGTGGTGCAATCATGGCTCACTGCAGCCTCAACCTCTTGAGCTCAGGTGATCCTCCTGCCTCAGCCTCCTGAGTAGCTGAGACTACCAGCATGCACCACCGTGCCTGGATAATTTTTTATTTTTTGTAGAGACAGATTCTTGCTATGTTGCCTAGTCTGGTCTTTTTTCTTTTTCTTTCTTTTTTTTTTTTTGAGATGGAGCCTCGCTCTGTCCCCCAGGCTGGAGTGCAGTGGCGCAATCTCGGCTCACTGCAAGCTCTGCCTCCTGGGTTCACGCCATTCTCTTGCCTCAGCCTCCCAAGTAGCTGGGATTACAAGCTCCCGCCACCACACCCAGCTAATTTTTGTATTTTTAGTAGAGATGGGGTTTCACCATGTTGGCCAGGCTGGTCTTGAACTCCTGACCTCAGGTGATCCACCCACCTCGGCCTCCCAAAGTGCTGGGATTACAGGCATGAGCCACCGTGCCTGGCCCCTAGTCTGGTCTTGAACTCCTGGGCTCAAATGATCCACCCACCTTGGCCTTCCAAAGTGCTGGGATTACAGGTATGAGCCACCTCACCCAGCCCATTTTGTTTTGTGATTATCATAAAGCCGTTCTAGTAGTTGTGAAGTGGTATCTCATTGTGGTTTTGATTTGCATTTCTCTAATGCAAATCATGAAAATGATGTTAAGTATCTTTTCACTTTTTGAAAAAATATCTGTTTGCTCATTTAAAAATTGTTGTTGTTTTTGTTGCATTGTAAGAGTTATTTGTATATTCTGGATTTCAACCTGTTATCAGATACACAGTTTGAAAATATTTTTCCCATTCCATAGGTTGTCATTTTACTTTATTTATAATGTCCTTTGTGCACGAAAGTTTTAAATTTTGACGAAGTCCAATTTATCTGTTTTTTTCTTTTATTGCTGGTCCTTTTGGTGTCCTATCTAAGAATCCATTGCCAAATCCAAGGTCATGAAGATTAACTCCTATGTTTTTTCTAAGAGTTGTGTGATTTCAGCTTTTATATTTAGGTCGTTGATCCATTTTGAGTTGATTTTTTTTACATGGTGAGGGATAGGAATCCAACTTCATTCTTTCGCATGTGCAAATCCAGTTGTCCCCAACCGTTTGTTGAAGAGATGCTATATTTCTTTTCTCTTCTTTTTTTTTTTTTTTTTTTTTTTTGAGACGGAGTCTCACACTGTAGCCTGGGCTGGAGTGCAATGGCGCGATCTTGGCTCACTGCAACCTCCGTCTCCCAGGTTTATGTGATTCTCCTGCCTCAGCCTCCTGAGTAGCTGGGATTACAGATGCACACCACCATACCCAGCTAATTTTTTTTTTGTATTTTTAGTAGAGACGGGGTTTCACTATGTTGGCCAGACTGGTCTCAAACTCCTGACCTCGTGATCCGCCCGCCTCAGCCTCCCAAAGTGCTGGGATTACAGGCATGAGCCACTGCGCCTAGCCGAGATGCTGTATTTCTTTTTGTGAGTCTGAAGAGTAGCACAGGGCTTCCCATACAGTGCATAAGCTGCAAAAAGCAATATCTTCATATATGTATTCTTTAAAAAAAAAAAAGAATGTTTTATGGTATGTGGAAGGTTTGCATGTGAAAATAGCTGGATGAATCAAAATGACAGTTTTAAAATGTCCATTCAGAACTCTTTAGATTAATAATGGGAAACTGTGCTGCTTTCCAGACCAAATCTTTCCTAATCTGGATAAGTTCCTGTGCCTGAAAGAACTGTCTGTGGATCTGGAGGGCAATATAAATGTTTTTTCAGTCATTCCTGAAGAATTTCCAAACTTCCACCATATGGAGAAATTATTGATCCAAATTTCAGCTGAGTATGATCCTTCCAAACTAGGTAAGGATGGCACTTTAATATACTTGTGTTTACGTAAGTTGGAAAAGCTACTTGGCCAATAATTTATTTAAGAGTTAAAGTGCCTGTGGTTCTAAGGGTGTAGCCTGTATCCATGGTAAATTGTGAGGAATAGCACTCTTTCTCATTAAGAAAGCAGAGTGCTGTTTGTAATTATTGAGCCTTTACTACACACTAGGAAGTATCCTAAGCACTTCACAAATATGAACTCAGTCTTCATACCCACTCTATGAAGTAAAGTACTATTATTATTATTATTATTATTATTATTTTTTTTTTTTTTTGAGACAGTCTCGCGCTGTCGCCCAGGCTGGAGTGCAGTGGCACGATCTCGGCTCACTGCAAGCTCCTCCTCCCAGGTTCACCATTCTCCTGCCTCAGCCTCCCAAGTAGCTGGGACTACAGGTGCCTGCCACCACGCCCAGCTAATTTTTTGTATTTTTAGTAGAGACGGCGTTTCACCGTGTTAGCCAGGATGGTCTCGATCTCCTGACCTCATGATCTTCCCGCCTCGGCCTCCCAAAGTGCTGGGATTACAGGCATGAGCCACTGTGCCTGGCGAAAGTAAAGTACTATTATTAATGCTATTTTGTAGCTGGGAAAACTGAGACATAAAGAGATAAAGTAATTCGTAATATCCAGCTAAGGAAATGTATATCTGTGACTCAAATACAGGAATTTTGACTCCAAAATCTGAGTTCTTAATCCCTAATATAGGCCGGGCCTGGTGGCTCACACCTGTAATCCCAGCACTTTGGGAGGCCGAGAAGGGCAGATCACCTGAGGTCAGGAGTTCGAGACCAGCCTGACCAACATGGTGAAACCCTGCCTCTACTAAAAATGCAAAAATTTGCTGGCATGGTGGCATATGCCTGTAATCCCAGCTACTTGAGAGGCTGAAGCAGGAGAATTACCTGAACCTGGGAGGCAGAGATTGCAATGTGAGCCGAGATCGCGCCATTGTACTCCAGCCTGGGGAACAAGAGTAAAACTCCATGGGGAACAAGAGCAAAACTCCATCTCAGAAAAAAAAAAAAAAAAAAAAGAAATCCCTAATATAATGTTGCCACTCCAAAATAATTTGTAGGGTTATTTTATTTTGTTTTTGGTTAGGCTGGTCTTACATTGCAACTTACAGATCTGGCAGCTCAGCAGGAAGGAAATCTGCTAATCCGTAGTCATTGGAAGTATTTCCCTGTTTCTCACCAGCCTATCCTAATAGTTCATGGAAAACGGTGCAGCCATCTTTCTTAAATACATCATTTAGCTAAATGACTTAGGCACCATCATTCCTTAACTTAGTAAACACTGAACACCATGTTGGCCAGCCTGGTCTCGAACTCCTGACTTCAAGTGATCTACCCACCTCGGCCTCCCAAAATGCTGGGATTACAAGCGTGAGCCACTGTGACTTGCCAATTTAGTCTGGTTTGTAGGCATGATGTGCCTTGGCATGTGACCTCCTGTGAGACCAAAAGAGAAGCTCATATTTGTCCAGGATGGTGAAACTCTCAGCACAATGGCGTCAGTGCTTTAGGCTTGGCTGTACTTCTTTGGTTTCTGCTTCTCCCTTAGATTTTTGCCAGGTGGTTCTTTATTAACCCATCAGCTCTTTGGGGTTTTTAAGGAGATATTTTCAAAATATTATATTAAGCTGGGCACAGTGACACGTGCTTGTAATCCCACCTACTTGGGAAGCTGAGGCAGGAGGATCACTTGAGTCCAGGAGTTTGAGACCAGCCTGTGATGAGAAAGACATCCTCAATCTAAGTACTTAACTATTCTCCAGAAATGGATACTGCCGTTCTCTCCAATCATTCAGAAATAAAAGATTCAGCTAAAAACTGCTGAATCAATAATTTGTCTTGGGGCATATTGAGGATGTAAAAAAAGTTGTTGATTAATGCTAAAAACCAAATTATCCAAAATTATTTTATTAAATATTGCATACAAAAGAAAATGTGTAAGGCTTGCTAAAAAACAAAACAAAACAAAACACAGTCCTGCATACTCACCACCAAGCTCAAGAAATAAATCATCACCAATACCTTTGAGGTCCCTGAGTAATCCACCCCAGCTAAAGGCAAACCCTTCAATCAAGTTTATACAGCTAACCCTCCATTGTCCATGGTCAACAGGGAAGGGGTTGGGGACAGGTCTGCCAATCTATCTAAAAGCCACAATATGGAAGAAGTATTCAATTTATATAATAAATGGCTAACTTAACGGTTGAATCACTTTCATACATGGATGAAACGGGTTTAACACAGGAACCACATGAATCTTCTGTGGGCCAAGAGATGTTCCTTAATCCTTGTAGAATATTCCTTAATCCTTGTAGAACCTGTTTTCTATATTGAACTAGCTTTGGTACAGTAGAGTTAACTTACTTTCCATTTATCCACTGCCAATATAAAGAGGAAACAGGGGTTAGGGAAAAATGACTTCATTCCAGAGGCTTCTCAGAGTTCAACATATGCTATAATTTAGAATTTTCTTATGAATCCACTCTACTTGGGTAGAAAATATTTTATCTCTAGTGATTGCATATTATTTCCATATCATAGTATTTCATAGTATTATATTTGATATGAGTGTCTATATCAATGTCAGTGTCCAGAATTTCGTTCCTACCAGTTAAGTAGTTTTCTGAACGGCCAGAAGACCATTCGAAATTCATGATACTACTATAAGTTGGTAAACAACCATACTTTTATCCTCATTTTTATTCTCACTAAGAAAAAAGTCAACTCCCCTCCCCTTGCCCAAGTATGAAATATAGGGACAGTATGTATGGTGTGGTCTCATTTGTTTAGAAAACCACTTATGACTGGGTGCGGTGGCTCACACCTGTAATCCCAGCACTTTGGGAGGCTGAGGCGGGCGAATCATTTGAGGTGAGGAATTCGAGACCAGCCTGGCCAGCATGGTGAAACCCCATCTCTACTAAAAATACAAAAATTAGCCAGGTGTGGTGGCACATGCCTGTAGTCCCAGCCACTAGGGCGGCTGAGACGCAAGACTTGCTTGAACCCGGGAGGCAGAGGTTGCAGTGAGCCAAGATGGCGCCACTGCATTCCAGCCTGGGCAACAGAGCAAGACCCTGTCTGTCTCAAAACAAAAAACAAAACCACTTATATTGCTAGCTACATTAAGAATTTCTGAATATGTTACTGAGCTTGCTTGTGGTAACCATTTATAATATCAGAAAGTATATGTACACCAAAACATGTTGAACATCCATGTTGTACAACTGAAATATAAATAATTTTGTCAATTATACCTAAATAAAACTGGAAAAAAATTTCTGGAAGTTTATATCTAAAAATGTTAATAGTGCGTACCTCTAGGAAGTGGGCCTGGAAGCCATTCTTACTTTTCAGTCTCTCCCATTCTGTACTGTTTTTTGTTTTACTTTCGTGCCTGCATTATTTTTCTATTTAAAACAAAAATAAATCTAGTTTAGCACTAAAATATTAACTGGAGCTACCTCTGGAGGGCAAGAGTACTAGAAGGTGGGATGGATTGTCTTCTTGCTTGTCTGATTTTATATGTAATACCTTTGTAATTAGAAAGGTTGTTAAGCATTATATCAGAATCCAGTCAGGAGACAGAAACCACACAGAAATTTGAATGGGGAAAGTTTAATATACAGATGCTCGGCCTGACGCAGTGGCTCACGCCTGTAATTCCAGCACTTTGGGAGGCCGAGGTGGGCAGATCACTTGAGGTCAGGAGTTCGAGACCAGCCTGGCCAACATGGTGAAATCCTGTCTCTACTAAAAATACAAAAAAAAATTAAAAAAAAAAAAAAAGCCAGGCATGGTGGTGTGCACCTGTAGTCTCAGCTACTTGGGAGGCTGAGGCAGGAGAATTGCTTGAACCCAGGAGGCAGAGGTTGCAGTGAGCCAAGATCGTGCCACTGCATTCCAGCCTGGGTGACAGAGCAAGACTCCATTTCAAATAAATAAATAAATAAATAAAATAAGATGCTCCTCAACTTACAACAGGGTTATATCCTGAAAAACCCATTGTAAGTAGAAAATATTGTATGTCAGAAATGCATTTAATATACCTAAACTACCAAACATCATCGCTTAACCTGACCTACCTTAAACACGCTGAGAACACTTATATTAGCTTACAGTTGGGCAAAATCATAAACACAAAGCCTATTTTATAATAAAGTATTGAAAATCTCACGCAATTTATTGAATACTGTACAGAAAGTGAAAAATAGAGGTCGTATGAGTACTTGAGGAACAGTTTCTACTGAATGCGGATCACTTTTGCACCATTGCAAAGTAGAAAAATCCTAAGTCAAGTCATCATGAGTTGGGGACTGTCCGTAAGAGTTATTAACAGAGGATTGGAATGGGGATTGGGTAGTAAGGAATAAAGAGAAGCCTGGGCAGATGCAGGGAACAGCCGATATGGGCTTTTCACCCCAGGCTGAGACAGAACAACTCAAAGAAGAAAGCTCAGGGCTGAGATCCGGGCTGAGATCCAGACTTCGTGTGAGAGGACACAGCTGTGAAAGACAGAGGTTTGCTGAGGCTGTGGAGTTGCAGCTGGAGAAGGTGCTGGGCTTGGGGCACTTTGCAGAGAAGGGACCTTGTGCATGTCAAGGGAAGCCATTCATGTGGGGGTACTGTGCGCTGCTGACCATTGGGTGCTGCTGAAGTTAGGCACCGCCCAAGAAGTGTGCAGCCAGAACGAGGTGCTGCAGAGGCAGAGTGTATGTGCTACAGGAGCTGGTATTGCAGATGGCACAGGTGTTGCAGGTGTCTGCCTAGAGGAGCACAATGGAACCAGGAAAAGCAGCCCTTGCCCCTTCAGTGTGTCAGCAGCACCCTCGATTGACAAAGTTTCACTCTGTGCTTACTGTCATGGGAGAGGTATTTACAGGGCCCAGATCTATTATTACAGAACAGACAATGAAGACTGAATGTGGATATAAGAGGCAACAACTAGCATAACTCATTAAATCTAATAGTGCACACATAAACACAAAATAACCTAGTAATTTCTTAATATTGACTGACAGGATATATGCACGTGATGTATTTATAAATTCATGGAAAACTTATATAAAAAACAGGCAACCATAATTGAGTTTAGGGAGGAGAACAGGATGGCTGGTGGACAGAAAAGGGAGAGAGGGAAGTTTGCTTTTTTTCTCCTGCATACCCTTTTATACCAGTTGAGTTTTGTCCCATGTGTGCATACTATTAAAAAACCATAATACTTGACCAGGTGCAGTGGCTCACGCTGGTAATCCCAGCACTTTGGGAGGCCGAGGCGGGTGGATCACCTGAGGTTGGGAGTTCGAGACCAGCCTGACCAACATGGAGAAACCTTGTCTCTACTAAAAATACAAAATTAGCCACGCATGGTGGTGCCTTCCTGTAATCCCAGCTACTCGGGAGGCTGAGGCAGGAGAATTGCTTGAACCCAGGAGGCGGAGGTTGCAGTGAGCCAAGAACGCGCTATTGCACTCTAGCCTGGGCAACAAGAGCAAAATTCTGCCTCAAAAAAAAAAAAAAAAAATCATAAGATTCCATGCAAATTATTTTTCCAGAGCTGCTTCTAACAGCGTTTAGTTCAAGCAGCGGTCAGTAAAGTATGGCCCTGGACTGTCCAGCCCTCAAGCTAAGAATGGTTTTCACATTTTTTAAAGCAACAGAGACTCAGTGGCCTACAAAGCTAAAATATTTACTGTGTTCTTTTACAGAAAACAAACTATTTCTATGACGAAATACTTTTGAATCATAAGCTCATCATGCCCTTTATTCTAGTTTACATCAGTCTTCATAGGACTCCCAAGTCATCCCTCATTGACCTAAAAACTGTCCTCATGGTTGTAAGCCCTCCCTCCCTTCCTCCATCCATCTCTCCCTCTCTCTTTTTCTCCTTCCCTCTCTCCCTTCCTTCCTTTTCTTTCATAAAGAAAAGAGGTTTAGTTGACTCACGGTTCTGCAGGCTTTACAGGAAGCATGGTGCTGGCATCTGCTCGGCTTTTAGGGAGGCCTCAGGAAACTAAAATCATGGCAGAAGGTGAGCACACATGTCACATGATGAAAGCAGAAACAAGTGAGAGACAGTGGGGGGGCAGGGGGCAGGTTTCATACACTTTTAAATGACCAGATCTCATGAGAACTCAGTAACAACACAAAGGTAACACCAAGCCATGAGGGATCTGCCCCCATGATCCAAACACCTCCCACCATGCCCCATCTCCAACACTCGGGATAAAATTCAACATAAGTAGAGATAAATATCCAAACCACATCATTCCACCTCTGGCCCCTCCCAAATCTTATGTCCTTTTCACAATGCAAAATACAACCATGCCTTCCCAACAGTGCCGCAAAGTCTTAACTCATTCCAGCATTAACTCAGAAGTCCAAAGTCTCATCTGAGACAAGGCAAATCCCTGCCACCTATGAGCCTATAAAATAAAAAACAAATTATTTACTTCCAACATACAATCAGGGTTCAGGGGTTGGGGAAATATTCCCATTAGGGAAAAACCTGCCAAAAAAGGGGGCTATAGGCCCCATGCAAGTTCAAAACCCAGCATGGCAGTCATTAAATCATGAAACTCCACAATGATCTCCTTGGTTTCCATGTGGCACGCTGATATGAGGGTTGGGCTCCCAAGGCCTTGGGCAGCTCTGCTCCTATAGCTTTGCAGAGTTCAGCCTGCTGTCACAGGCTGGGTTGAGTGCCTGTGGCTTTTCCAAGTGCAGGGTACAAGCTGCCAGTGGCTCTACCATTCTGGAGAACAGTAGCCCTCTTCTCACAGCTCCACTAGGCAGTGCCCCAGTAGGGACTCTGCGTGGGGCCTTTAACCCCACATTTCCCCTCCACGCTGCCCTAGTAGAGGCTCTCTGTGAGGGCTCTGCCCCTGCAGCAGGGTTCTGCTTGGACACCCAGGCTTTTCCATACATCCTCTGAAATCCAGGCAGAGGCTACCAAGAATTCACCATTTTTGCATTCTGTGTGCCTGCAGGCTTACCACCTAATGGAAGCTGTGAAGGCTATGGCTTATGCCCTCCAAAGTAACAGCCCAAGCTGTACCTAGGCCCCTTTGAGCCCCTGCTGGAGTTGGAGCCATCTGGATGCAGGGAGCAGTGTTCTGAGGCTGCACAGGGCAACAGGGCCCTGGGCTCAGCCCAGGAAAATATTCAGTCCTCCTTGGCTTCAGGGCCTATGACAGGAGGGGCTGCCCCATAGGTCTCTGAAATGCCTTTGAGGCCTTTTCCCCATTGTCTTGGATATTACCACTTGGATCCCTTTCAGTTATGCAAATATCAGCAAGTGGTTGCTCCACAGCCTGCTTGAATTCCTTGGAGAAAATGGTTTTTTTTTTTACCACCTGGCTAGGCTGCAAAATTTCCCAACTTTTAGGCTCTGCTTCCTGTTTAAATGTAAGTTCCAAATTTAAGTCATTCATTTGCCCCCACATCTGAGCACAGGCTGTTAGTAGCAGAAGGCCACATCTTGAATGCTTTGCTGCTTAGAAATTTCTTCTGCCACATACGCTAGGTCATAGTTTTTAAGTTCAAACTTCCACAAATCCCTAGGACACAAGCAGAATGCAGCCAAGTTATTTGCTAAGGCATAACGTGTGACTTTTGCTCCAGTTCCCAATAAATTCGTTTCCTTTTGAGACCTTGTCAACCTGGACTTCACTGTCCCTATCACCATCAGCATTTTGGTCACAACCACTTATCTAGTCTCTAAGAAGTTCCAGACTTGCCGGGAGCGGTGGCTCACGCCTGTAAACCTAGCACTTTGGGAGGTCGAGGTGGGTGAATCACTTGAGGTCAGGAGTTCGAGACCAGCCTGGCCAACATGGTGAAACCCCATCCCTAATAAAATACAAAAATATTAGCCAGGCATGGTGGTGCATGCCTGTAACCCCAGCTGCTTGGGAAGCTGAGGCAGAAAAATCACTTGAACCCGGGAGGCAGAGGTTGCAGTGAGCCAAGATCACGCCACTGCACTCCAGCCTGGGCGACAGAGCAAGACTCCGTCTCAAAAAAAAAAAAAAAAAAAAAAAAAAAGTTCGAAACTTACCCTCATTTTCCTGTCTTCTTCTGAGCCCTGTAAACTCTTCCAGCCACTACTCATTACCCAGTTCCAAAGCTGTTTCCACATTTTCAGGTATCTTTATAGCAATGCCCAACTTCTCGGTACCAATTTCCTGTATTGGGGCATTCTTGCACTGCTATAAAGAAATACCTCAAACTGGGTAATTTACAAAGAGGTTTAATTGGCTCATGGTTCTGCAGGCTTTACAGGAAGCATGGTGCTGGCATCTGCTTGGCTTCTAGGGAGACCTCAGGAAGCTTACAGTCATGGTGGAAGGTGAAGGGGTAGCAGACACATCACATGGTAAAAGCAGGGGCAAGTGAGAGAGCTAAACTCCCGCTTTCTGATCACATATCCCAACCTGCTCCAACTCCCTAAATCCTTCCACTGTGTCTACATGGTAGAATCTCCTACATCCACAACTTCTTATGTCAACATTCCTTCTATTTCTTGATCTAACTCCTCATTCTCAAGCTTTTTTTTTAACCATGACCCACAATAATAAATTTTACATCAAAACACCATACGCACATACATACACACACATATGTGTATACACAACTGAAGTCCCACAAAAACAAACCTTACTAAAATAAAGCTATATCAGATATGATTTTATTAATAGCCAAATAAACAAAAATTCAGAAATACAAAGTTCCGTGAAAGAGTTGTTTACATGCACTGTCAACTGTTCTCTCATTCTTATGTTCTCCCCCTCCAGGATTTTACCTCCTCCATTCCACCAAAACAGCTCTTATGAGGGTCACCAATGAGCTCCACATTGCTAAATTGGTGAATACTTCTCAGTCCTCACTTTAGTTGACCCATTAGCAGCATTTGACCTATTGGCTTTCACATGGCCCATCACCCCTCTTCCTCAAAACACTGCCTTCATTTGGCTTCCAGGGCATCCCTCTTGATTTTCCTAACTCAATGAGAGCTCCTCCTTAGTCTCCTGCACTGTTTTTCCTCATATCCTATCTCTAACCACTGAGAGAACCCCAAAGTTCTCCTCTGACATCTTCTCTATTTGAATGCACTTCCTCAGCTATCTCCTCTAGTTCAACAGCTTTAAATTTACTAACTTCTACATTTCCATCTCTAGCCCAGACCTCTCCTCTGAACTATTTTTTTATTTTATAATATAGACGGGGTCTCACTTTGTTGCCCAGTCTGGTCTTGAACTCCTGGGCTCACAAGATTCTCCTGCCTTGGCCTCCCAAAGTGCTGAGATTACAGGCATGAGGCATTGCACCTGGCCGGGACTCTTTATTCACATCCAACTTCTACTAATGGGCATCTCAATTTTCACATGTTCAAAACCCAATTTCTTTCCTGCCACAAAAGTACTCCTTATGCAGACCTCCATCTCATTAAATTCTAACTTTATTTTTCCAGTTGCATAAGCCAAAAATCTTGGAGTTACACTTGACACTCCTCTTTCATACACCACATGTAGTCAATCTACTGAAAAATCCTGGTGGCTCCACTTGGAAAATATACTCAGATCCAACCACCACTACCCACACTGGCTCTAACTAGTCAGCCTGTTTCCTCCCTTCAAACCTATGGTGTATTTTCAACACAGCAATCAGAAGTCTCTTTCTATAAGTCAGATCATGCTATACCTTGGGTTCAAAACCTTTCCATGGACTCCCAGCTTAAAAAAGTAAATGCTGAAGACCTTACTATCGCTGACATATGGCCTGGCCCTTGACTACCTCTCTTAGCTCCATCTCCTTAATCTCTCCTCCTTACTTCCACTCCAGCCACGATTAACTCCTTGTTGTTCCCCAAACATGTTAAATACACTTGTGTCTTAGGGCCTTTCTATTTGTTATCTCCCTTGCCTGGGATACTCTCCCTCTAGTTGTACCTAGAACAGTTGAATCATCGCATAATTGCTAAAAGGACAAGTGACCATGTGACAACGTTCTTTCATCTTTTATGCTTGTAACACCAGAATTTACTTGAAAAAGTTTGTAAGTGGACAAGTATGAAAGACAGATATGTACACAAAGTAACAGGAAGGTAAAGATGATGTGAAAAATGAAAACCAATCCACTGAAAGTCATTCTAATTGGTATTTATAAATGTAAAAACAAAAATGTTTTGCTGTTATGTAACAAAGAATATAGCCATCATCTATCACTTCAACAAAACTATGAGCCCTAAAGTTTTCAGAAGTATTGCAGTTTGGACAGGTGTGGTGGCTCATGCCTACCGTCCCCAGCACTTTGGAAGGCAGGAAGATCACTTGAGGCCAGGTGTTCAAGGCCAGCCTGGGCAACACAGTGAGACCCTATTTCTACAAAAAATAAAAATAAATTAAAAAACAAAAAGTATTGCATTTTGACAAAGTGAGTTCATGAAGAATACAAATAATAAGGTAGAACATAGTAGAGATGCATTTGAAATCCAAAATCCGTATTTAAAGGTAGGTATGTTCCAGATTCATGCATAATGACAGCTGCTTTCAAAGGATGTAATGCCTTTTAGGTATACATAAACATTCAAAACTGGGAAAATATGGGAAAAAATGTGGGTCTCCTATATTTGGATTCTCATTAAAATTGCTAACAAAGTTAATTTTCACCATCCCTTTAGTCTTCTGTAAATTGTTTACAGACCTCATGATCCACCCGCCTCAGCCTCCCCAAGTGCTGGGATTACAGGCGTGAGCCACCGCGCCTGGCCTATTAAGGCATAATTTCTAATGCATGTTACTTTTGTAGGATGAATTCACTTACACATCAGAATGAAATAAGGAAAGTGAAAAGGGAAGGCACTGATGTTGTGTGATATATTGTGTAGGTTATTAGTAATAGAGCCATAGAGAACGTACATTAAGGGAGAATAAACAAATCTCTTATTAAAAGAGTAGAAGTCAGCTTGAACTTCTTAATTTCTTCTGTGGTTTTAACATTCCACGTTGAGAGGTGAATGGATTAAGAACTACCAGTGTGCTTTGTTCTAGATTAGTGCTTTTCCAAGTGTGGTGCACAGACAGCAACATAGCATTACCTGAGAGCTTGTTAGAAATGAAAATTCTCCTAACCGAGACCTGGCTTAGGTTAAATGAGAGTGGTCTTTCTAATGTGGGCGTGAGATAATGAGACCAGTCTTCCTAATATGGAGGTGGAAAATTGCCATAGATAATTATGAAACCTAATCACATTAGGATGAGAACTAGGTGATCAGATTTTTCTTCTTGGTAATATACTTGTTTAAACTAGCAGTAGCACTGTTTATATGTCTATTACAATGTGGATTTAACTATTAACCTGTAATGATTGCCTTTTTATTATTAGTGTTAATAGTATTTAATGGGCCACATAAATATTAGATAATGTATATAAGATAATTTTCTTCAGTGTCTTCCCCCTTTTCATTACAAGATAAATAATAACTATCTCTTGGGGTTTTTTAAGGTTAAAAATGTGTCTGCAGGCACACAGGACGTGCCTTCACCCCCATCTGACTATGTGGAAAGAGTTGACAGTCCCATGGCATACTCTTCCAATGGCAAAGTGAATGACAAGCGGTTTTATCCAGAGTCTTCCTATAAATCCACGCCGTAAGTAGCATCTCTCTTAGTTTGATAGACTGAGTGTAAAAATGAGTATTTGCATATAATTGGTTTTTGTTGTTTTTGTGCCTTTCTGCTTAAAAAAAATATCCAGCAGTGCACACAAAAGCTGGATCTGGATCTTGGTATTACAACAATCTTTGCTTTGTTGGTACAGAGGCCTACGGCTACTTGGAAGACCAGGATGAGGAGGGTGGGGTTCTATTTCCCTTCTAAGTTGAAAATGCTTCTTTTCACTTACTTGTTTAATTGAAAGGTTGGGTTGGGTTCTTTCACTCTAGGAATGTGGTTCTGCTATTTCTGGTTTTGAAGTTTAGGTGAGGGTGAGAGGAAGTTACTGAGCAGAGGTCAGTGCTGTGCTCAGCCTCTCCTTTTGCCTATAATTGTTGGATCTCATAAACAGAAGGGAGGACATTTCACATTAATCAACCCTGCCCACATACATTTCTGTTAAACTAGAAGACTTCATTTGAATCCAGGAATTGTGGTATTTCATTTGCTGTGCTAGGTCCTCAGTATTGCTGGGAGATGTGAAACCTCAGTGAACGTCTGGCCTAGGGTAGGTGTCATATGATAATTGAAATGGTATCTCTGTGGTGGAAACACTTACCCTAAAGCTCAATTCTAATTCCACCTAATGACTAGTGAGAGAAGACTATTGGAGATAATTGGTATGGACGGGGATGTAATTTTTGCCTAAGGATGATGAAGTCGTTATTTTTACATATATAGTCATGCATTGTTTAACGATGGGAATACTGAGAAGTGTGTCTTTAGGCAATTTCATCCTTGAGTGAACATCACAGTGTACTTAACACAAACCTAGATGGATAGCCTGCTACGAGCCTAGGCTATGTGGTATAGCTTCTTGCTTTTACGCTACAAATGCAGACAGCATGTTAATATACCAAATACTCTAGGCAGCGGTAATACAGTGGTATTTGTATATCTAAACACAAAAAAGGTACAGTAAATATAAAAGATAAAAAATGGTACATCTTGGCGGGGGCGGTGGCTCACGCCTATAATCCCAGCACTTTGGGAGGCCGAGGCAGGTGGATCACCTGAGGTCAGGAGTTCAAGACCGGCCTGACCAACATGGAGAAACCCCATCTCTACTAAAAATAGCCAGGCGTGGTGGCGCATGCCTGTAATCCCAGCTACTTGGGAAGGCTGAGGCAGGAGAGTCGGTTTAACCCGGGAGGCGGAGGTTGTTGTAAGTGGAGATTGTGCCATTGCACTCCAGCCTGGGCAACAAGAGCGAAGCTCCATCTAAATAAATAAATAAATAAATAAATAAATGGTACATCTTGTAAGGCACTTACCATGAATGAAGCTTGTAGGACTGGAAGTTGCTCTGGGTGAGTCAGGGAGTAAGTGGTGAGTGAATGTGAAGGCCTAGGACATTACTGTACACTTTATAAACACTATACTTAGGCTACACTAAATTTACTAAACATTTTTCTTTCTTCTATAATAAATCTTAGCTTTCTATAACTTTAATTTTTTTGACTCTTTTGTAATAACACTTAAAACACAATCACATGGCTGGGTGCAGTGGCTCACGCCTGTAATCCCCACACTTTGGGAGGCCCAGGTGGACGGATCACCTGAGGTCAGGAGTTCGAGACCAGCCTGGCCAAAATGGCAAAACCCTGTCTCTACTAAAAATACAAAAATTAGCCAGGCATGGTGGCTCACACCTGTAATCTCAGCTACTCGGAAAGCTGAGGCAGGAGAATCACTTGAACCTGGGAGGCGGCGGTTACAGTGAGCTGAGATCACACCAGTGCACTCCAGCCTGCGTGACAAAGTGAAACTCTGTCTCAAAAAAAAAAACAAAAGGCCGGACGCGGTGGCTCACCCCTGTAATCCCAGCACTTTGGGAGGCTGAGGCAGGTGGATCACGAGGTCAGGAAATTGAGACCATCCTGGCTAACAGGGTGAAACCCCGTGTCTACTAAAAGTACGAAAAATTAGCCGGGCATGGTGGCGGGTGCCTGTAGTCCCAGCTACTCGGGAGGCTGAGGCAGGAGAATGGCGTGAACCCGGGAGGTGGAGCTCCCAGTGAGCCGAGATCGCGCCACTGCACTCTAGCCTGGGCGACAAAGTGAGACTCCGTCTCAAAAACAAACAAACAAAAGAACAACAACAAAAAACACAATCACAAACCCTGGCACAGTGGTGCACACCAGCAGTCCCAGCTAATTGGGAGGCTGAGGTGGGAGGGATCATACTTGAGCCCGGGAGCTCAAATCCAGCCAAAAATAAAAGAAAAGCCAAAAATCCCATACCTACATTGTATAGATATATAGATATAGAGAAGTATTTTCCTTATTCTATAAGCTTTTTTTTTTTTTTTTTTTTTTTGGTAGAGACATGGTCTCAATCTGTCACCCAGCCTGGGGTGCAGTGGTGTGGTCACAGCTCACTGTAGCCTTGACCTCCCAGGCTCAAGCGATCTTCCCACTTTAGTCACCTAAGTAGCTGAGACTACTTAGTCACCTCAGTAGCTGGGACTACACATGTGCTCCACCATGCCCAGCTATTTTTTTCTATTTTTTTTTGTAGAGACAGGGTCTTGCTATGTTGTCCAGGCTGGTCTCAAACTCCTGGGCTCAAGCGATCTGCCTGCCTCGGCTTCACAAAGTACTGGGATTACAGGCATGAGCCACCATGCCCTGCCACCAGGCTGTTCTTAGACTCCTGACCTCAAGTGATCCTCCCACTTTGGCCTCCCAAAGTGCTGTTTTCTATTTTTACCATGTAAATTTTATTTTAGTTTCTACACTTTATTGTTAAAAACTAAGATACAGACTGGGTGCAGTGGCTTATGCCTGTAATCCCACCACTTTGGGAGGCTGCAGTGAGCTGCGATTGCACCACTGCCCTCCAGCCTGGGCAACAGAGACCCTATCTCAAAAAAAATAAAAATAAACACACACACACACACACACAAACCCAAAACTAAGATACAAACATACACATTTGCCTAGGCCTACATCAATATCACTGTCTTCCATTTCCACATCTCGTTGCACTGGAAGGTCATCAGGGCCAATAACACACCCAGAGCTGTCATCTTCCATGGTGACAGTGCCTTCTTCTGGAATACCTCCTGAAGCACCTGCCTGAGGCTCTTTTAACTTTTTTTTCCTGTTTCAACTCTTTTTTTTTTTAATAAGTTGAAGGAATCTAATAAAAAATATAGTGTAAATACATAAACCAGTAGCATAGTCGTTTATTGTCAAGTATTATATACTGTACATAATTGCATTTGCCGTATACTTTTATTAGTCCCTTATTGACTGAAATGTCTTTATGACTTTGTGACTGTAATTCTAGAACTCTAAGTTCCTTTGGAGACTGAAAAAGCCCAAAAAATTTCCTTTCAGCTAGTTTGAATGTCTATGTTAAAGGTGTATCTACTGGAAATAACTTTTTTGTTACTTCGAAGTGTTTTTTTGTTTGTTTTGTTTTTGAGACGGAGTCTCACTCCGTTACCCAGGCTGGAGTGCAGTAGTGCGATCTCAGTTCACTGCAACCTCCGTCTCCTGGGTTCAAGTGATTCTCCTGCCTCAGCCTCCTCCTAGTAGCTGGGATTACAGGTGCGCGCCACCATGCCTGGCTAATTTTTGTATTTTTAGTAGAGACGGGGTTTCATGATGTTGGCCAGGTTGGTCTCGAACTCCTGACCTCAGGTGATCTACCTGTCTTGGCCTCCCAAAGTGCGGGCATTACAGGCGTGAGCCACCGCGCCTGGCCTGCTTTGAAGTTTTATCCCCAATGCCCGACTCCTGATTAGTGGGCCATGATATATGAGATTTACTCTGAGTGCATAGTTGTTTTGGTATTCAGACTTGATCTTGCTGTTGATTTCAATTGTGAATGATTTGGAGAAAGCACATTTTCTCTGTTCTTCTCTTTGGATTTTGACAAAAACTAAAGCACTTGAGAGTGTTAGGGACAAGGGTACGCAAGAGAGATGCAATCCTTCTAAGTTTTTTTTTTTCATCATTTGTTTGAGATGCTGTTTCACTCTGTCGCCCAGACCTATAGTGCAGTGGTGTGATCATAGCTCACTGTGACCTTGAACTCCTGGGCTCAAGCAGTCCTCTTGCTTCATAGCTCACTTTAGCCAGGACCACAGGTATGTGCCACTATGGCTGGCTAATTTTTTATTTTTATTTTTGTAGAGAAGGGGTCTTGCTTTGTTGCCCAGGATAGTCTTGAACTCCTGGCCTTAAGTGATCCTCCTGCCTCAGCCTCTAAAATTTTTAAGCTATGATTTGCAGAACTTTTTTTTTCTCCTTTTTCATGTCAGATGGGTAATGTGCCAATATTGTAACAAGATTTGAGGGTGGGACATTTCACACATGCGTGTGAACACCCAATCATCATGCTCATCAACTATAAAAGGACCAATTTGCAGAACTTTCATACATACAAAATGTATATCTATACTGCATCTTGGCACCAGCTGTTCCTCTAAATTGTAAGGCCTGCGTGGTTACACAGCATTCCCTGGTGTTGTCCCTTTTCACAAAAACCAGGATAGTTTCACAAATTCATTTGAAATTAATTTGAAAGTCTTATTCCTTAAGTATTAATCTTTCTTATTCTTGAATACTTTATGTAGTGGAAAATTTAAAAGGGACAAAAGGTACCAGCTAGCTAGTTCCTCTCCCCAGAGGCAACTAATGTCATCACTTTCTATTTCTCCACAGATTTTAAAACATAAAGATACTGGCCAAAGTACATTGATTCCCCCACCCCCCCTTAAAATACTAGCATACCAGAGCTGGGCACAGTGGCTCATGCCTGTAATTCCAGCACTTCGGGAGGCTGAGGTGGGTGGATTGCTTGAGCCTAGGAGTTCGAGAACACCCTGGGCATTATTGCTAAACCCCCTCTCTACAAAAAATATAAAGATTTGCCAGGTATGGTGGCACATGCCTCTAGTCCTAGCTACTTGGGAGGCTGAGGTGGGAGGATTGATTGAGCCCAGGAGGTCAAGCCTGCAGTGAGCCAAGACCGTGCCACTCCACTTCAGTCTGGGTGACAGAGTGAGACCCTGTTTCAAAAAAAAGAAAAAGAAAATATTAGCATACCAAATGTATCATTAGCAATATATTTTATCTTGGATATTGTCCATATCACTATGCAATGAGTTGCCTGATTCTGTTTTATTTTTTTAATTATAATCAAGAAGAAGCACTATTGTGTTTTATAGCTGTATAATATTCTACCAAATAGGTATACTTTATTTATTTTATTATTATTATTTTTTGAGGCAGAGTCTCGCTCCGTTGCCCAGGCTGGAGTACAGTGGCGCGATCTCGGCTCACTGCAACCTCTGCCTCCCAGGTTCAAGTGCCTCCCGAGTAGCCTGCCTTAGCCTCCTGAGTAGCTGGGATTACAGGCACCCACCACCACGCCTGGCTAATTTTTAGTAGAGATGGGGTTTTGTCATGTTGGCCAGGCTGGTCTTGAACTCCTGACCTCAACTGATCTGCCTGCTTTAGCCTCCCAAAGTGTTGGGATTACAGGCATGAGCCACCGCACCTGGCTGGTATACTTAATGTATTAATCCTATATGATGCACACTTTCCCCCAATGTTTTGTTATTACAGACCACAAATGTATAAGGAATAACCTTATACATTTATCACTTTATACATATGTGAATGTATCTGGAGGCAGAATTGCTGAGCTAAAATAAATGTGCATTTTTTCATTTTGATAGATGTAGTAAAAGTTTTATTTCTTAAGGATTGTACTAGTTTCTACTCCAAACTTATGCCCCAGAATTTTTTTTGAAGGTCTGGAAAGTGCAAACACGATGCTTCATTTTAGAACCCAGATGAATGGGTGAATGGGAGTGGTACTAAGAGATACTAATGCACAATATCTCCCCCAGAGCATGGTAATGATGGAAGGATTTTACAGCCTCTGGGGGGCAATAGAAATTGTAAAGTGTTGTTCATAGTAGAGTACTGAGTGCTATAGAGGATTCAGAGGACACCCACTTGAATGGGAATAAGAACACATAAGTCATAGCCTGTCTTTCCTAAGGCATTCTTGCAAGTGCTTAGTAACCCATGAGCACCTCTCTTCCTCACCATGCTAGTGGATAGAGAAGGAATTAGATGGAGAACATTGTGTCCATCCACCCATCCGTGCCAAGGATGAGGTAAATCAGTATTAAGATGTTTTTTTCTCCCAACGCGTAATGTACATTCCATAAAAAGAGCACTAATCTTGAGTATACAGCTTGATGAGTTTTCCCATCTATGACCACTTAACTCCCACCACCAAGATACATTTTGAGCCCTACATAAGGTCCCCATGTGCCCTTTCTCCATCAATACCCACCCACACCCACCCCAAGGTAACAGCTATTTTGATGTCTGTCACCATCTGTTAGTGAACGTGTTATTATTGGACTTTAAATAAAATGGAATAATGCAGTTTACTCTCATATCTGGTTCCTTTTGCTTATAATGTCCCATACCTTAGAATTTTAAGGCAGTCAGCTCTGAGAATTAATCCTGCATCAGGGGACACCAGAATTTAGCTGAAGATGGTTGCCTCTCCAAACCTACTAAACGAACTTGGGAGAGCCCTATTAGGTACACTCTCCACTATCCTGTCCACACCCAGGTTGAATTACCCTTCATAAATCAAGGAAGTTGAATGTTGCTGCAATGCAAAGCTTTCAAAGAAGGCTGACTCCTTGCATTGCTAAATGAGACCATTGTTTGGTAGTAATAGGCTGGTAGGATGATGTTAGGACTTTTATGCAAGTTAGAGGAGTTATAGAAGCCCAGTTTAAACTAGTTTAAGATGGGGCATGGTGGTTCAGGCTGATAATCCCAGCACTTTGGGAGGCCAATGAGGTGGGAAGATTGCTTGAGGCCAGGAGTTTGAGACCTGCCTGGGCAACATAGGGAGACCCTGTCTCAATTAAAAAAAAAAAAATCATGAAAAAAAATAGCTTAAGTGAAAGGAGGAATTATCTGAGTCACGTGAGGCCCAAGGACGTCTGTAGCTTCAGTCATGGCATAATCGAAGGATTCAGAAGATAGCAGGGCTGTTATGTGCTCTCTTTCATCTGTCGGTATGTTGGCTTTCTTCTCAGTTCAGCTTCTGTTGTGACAGGATAGCCATCTACATTTATTTATTTATTTATTTTTACTTTTTAGAGATAGGGTCTCACTGTTTCACACAGGCTGGAGTCCAGTGGTGTGATCATAGCTCACTGAATCCTCAAATTCCTGCACTCAAGTGATCCTTCTGCCTCAGCCTCCTGAGTAGCTAGTACTACAGGTGCATGCAACCATGCCTGGGTTTTTTTTGTTGTTTTTGGTTTTTTTGAAATGGAGTCTTGCTCTGTCATCCAGGCTGGAATGTGTTGGTGCAATCTTGGCTCATTGCAACCTCTACCTCCCAGGTTCAAGCGATCCTCCCACCTCAGCCTCCTGAGTAGCTGGGATCACAGGCTTGCACCACCATGCTCAGCTAATTTTTGTATTTTTAGTAGAGACAGGGGTTTCAACATGTTGGCCAGATCGGTCTCAAACTCCTAACCTCAAGTGATCCCCCTGCCTCAGCCTCCCAAAGTGCTGGGATTATACAAGTGTGAGCTACCGCACCTGGCCGGCTTGTTCTTTTTATTCTTCAGTCATTTGTTTTATTCTCTCTCACACTCCTTCACGCTGCCTTTATTGCTCCTACCTTGCCCTGACTCTCAGCAGAATTGTTGTGCACTTTCCTCCACCCCTGTTTTGCAGCCTCCGTGAGAACATGGACCTGGTCTTCCCAGGGTCACCTGGCTCAGTACTCTATGCATGTCAGGTGTTCAGGACAATTACTGAATTGAAAACACATGCATAAGAATCCTTCTTTTCTGATTACACACAGCATCAGTGAAGGCAGAGAAACAACCCATGATCAACAATGCCATGACTATTAGAATGACGTTTGTTGTACACACTGTATTTTAGAGCTGCTACCATTATTGGGAGGCATATCTAAGTCTTGCTAATCAGAGAACATTCTCCTGGCTTCAAGGATGACAGTGACCCAAAAAGGGCCAATCAGAATCTTTTTGCTATGTAAGCTTTGGGAAAGAAAACTTCATGCTGGGCTGGAAAGATCAACGCAGCTTGGGAAATGTGGAAGGCTCAGCCTGGGCAACAGAGTGAGACCCTGTCTCTACAAAAAAATTAAAAATTAGCCCAGTGTGGTGTTGCTCACACCTGTAGTGAATACTTTTCTTGTGAAACATTTTGCTTTTAGCTTTCATGCTAGATCAAGTATGTTAATATTTTAAAGGGGTGTAGGAGGAGGGGAGGAAAACTTCGAAGTTAAAGATATATCAATATCTAATATCATAAAAATTCTGGCAGGAGGCCTACTTTGATGTTTTACTTTTTGTTTTTATGTTTTTTTCTAATTTCTTTTGCCCTTTAGTTCCCTCCCTCTTTGGCCCCACCCCTAAAATGAATCCACTGCATTCTAAAGGTTTTGTTTTTCTACCTCAAAGAAGAGGCATAGTACCTGGCAGTTTTGGCAGAGTGTCTAGGAACTTGTTAATCATTGACTCATGGAGAAAGTCACATTTTCTCTCCATTAGAAGTAACATTAGCATAGCACACAAAGCCATATTACCTGAATAATTTTTTTTTTTTTTAGACAGAATCTCATTCTGTTACCCAGGGTGGAGTGCAGTGGTGCGATCTCAGCTCACTGCATTCTCTGCCTCCTGGGTTCAAGCAATTCTTCTGCCTCAGCCTCCCGAGTAGCTGGGATTACAGATGCCTGCCACAGTGCACTAATTTTTGTATTTTTTGTAGAGATGGGGTTTCACCATGTTGGCCAGGCCGATCTTGAACTCCTGGCCTCAAGTGATTCGCCCACCTCGGCCTCCCAAAGTGCTGAGATTACAGGTGTGAGCCACCGCCTCCGGCCATAAATCTTGAAAGAAGAAATAAATACTACCCCCACCTGCATCTACACACACATACCCCAAAGTTTAGAGTCTGCAAGAAATTGTGTGCTTAGAAATCTAAGACTCTGACAACAGTTACAGCAAAGCACATGTGGATCACCTAGAAAAGGGACTAAACCTGGAAGAGCTCAGTATGATAGTTTATGTAAATTGGCAGCAAAAAGAAACGCTTCAGACATTTTAAATAGTTGATTGGAATGGCAAGGCTGATGCTTGGAAAGTCTTAGGCCCATTCTTTGGTGTTTTCATTTCTGTTCTTGCCCTTTTCTACAAGAAAATGAAACTTCGTATTTCTTTTACTCAGAAGTAGTTCCCACTTTCAACTTTGGTATTTTATTCCTCAGTTAGGGTTATTTTCATGTTTGTGTCCGAAACATGCAATTGTGATGCAACTTTAAATAATTGTATTAGAAGAAAATAGTAAGTGTGTAATGGTAACCCTTCTATTCATTCTACGTGGCTTCAGGATTAACAGCAATTTTAAAAAGAATCCTAAAGGAACTCTTTAATTTATTGCAATGTAAAGCTTTTTACTTTTTTAGTTTAGATATTTAGTTTATTTTGCAAGATTTTATCTTAATATGATAATTGATATATGGTAGTATAAGATCAATATTACAAAGAGCATGTGTGCATTCTTCCCCATGCAGCATTCCAGGGAACTAGAAGAGCCTGTAGAAAAGAATGATCACTGTTTTCCTGACAGCCTTTGTAGAGTAAGTCCCTGGCACAGGTCAAGTAAACACCTCTTATAGATCAGCCTGAACTTTTTAAAATGAAATCTGAGATCCATTGTACTTAGAAGGTATAAAAATGGCTACTCCCCTTTAAATTGGAACCTACTACTTGTGTGTATTAGAGGACTCTGAACTGCTGTCAAATTGAATGCAGAAAACGAGGCATCTGCTCAGTGTTGAACATCTGAAGTCCTCGCGTGAGTGCACCTGCGTGCAGATGTCTGCTGGTGTTTATTATGGCTGTGCTCTGTGATTACAGTGCACTGGCAAAGGGCTGTAGTGTACTGAACAATGATGCCTGTTTTTATTAGGGTTCCTGAAGTGGTTCAGGAGCTTCCATTAACTTCGCCTGTGGATGACTTCAGGCAGCCTCGTTACAGCAGCGGTGGTAACTTTGAGACACCTTCAAAAAGAGCACCTGCAAAGGGAAGAGCAGGAAGGTCAAAGAGAACAGAGCAAGATCACTATGAGACAGACTACACAACTGGCGGCGAGTCCTGTGATGAGCTGGAGGAGGACTGGATCAGGTACCGACTCAGCTCTCCTTTCCTGGCCCACGTGCTCCTTCTGATAATTAAAGGAGACCAACCAGGTGTTGGAGTTATTGCCTCCCAAATTGAGGTCACTGGTGTAATTTCATTCTTTGCCAACCAGGACTGGAGACAGTTTTTTGTGTGGTGTTGGCTGGTTTTTTCCTTAGCACCCTTTTGTGACAAAGTTTGAAGTGGAGAGAATGTTTGGCAGTAACCATGTCTTTGAACTTTGGCAGTAACCACTTTGAACTTTCCACAGTGTGGCTGGTGAACTTCACCAGTGCTCTTTCTTATACCAATAGTCACGGAAGAAAGATGTCCTAGCACTTTGGGAGGCTAAGGCTAAGAGTTCAAGACCAGCCAGGCATAGTGGTGTGGGCCTGTAGTTCCAGCTACTCGGAAGGCTGAGGCTGAGGCAGGAGGATTGCTTAAGCCCAGGAGTTCAAGGCTGCAGTGAGCTATAATTGCATCATTGCACCCCAGGCTGGGTGATAGAGCTAGACCCTATCTCAAAAAACAACCAAAGGCCTTTCAAATAAATAAAATCCAGGTATAGAAGAACTTTGTTTTACTAATTATAAAATTCCCAAACCAGTGCTATGGTTTTCCTTTGGCATTACTTTTTTTTTTTGAGACGGAGTCTTGCTCTGTCGCCCAGGCTGGAGTGCAATGGCACGATCTCGGCTCGGTGCAACCTCTGCCTTCCGGGTTCAAGCAATTCCTGCCTCAGCCTACCAAGTAGCTGGGATTACAGGCGCCCACCACCATGCCCGGCTAATTATTGTATTTTTAGTAGAGACGGGTTTCACCATGTTGGCCAGGCTGATCTTGAAAATCCTGACCTCAGATGATCTCCCTGCCTCGGCCTCCCAAAGTGCTGGGATTACAGGAGTGAGCCACCGCGCCTGGCCGGCAATTATTTTTTAAATTAAGCTTAAAATGATAAGACGAGAGTTTCTTTTAAAGTTTAATCCAAAGAGTTCCGTAAACAATTGAGGTAACAATTTAGTGTTCAGCCACAGTTGTGGTTAAGTTTCTTTGTGTTTTGGTGGTTTTGTTACAATCCATCCACCATCACCAAATGTATTTGTGTATGATGTGTAGCCTTCCTATGCCCAAGTATTCTGAGGACTAAGACGCACATCAGAAACATTTGCAATGTGAATGGTAATCAAAACATCGCTTCTCAGAGAGTGAGGAATGATAGGCGGGGCATGGGTAGCTTGAGATCCCCTATTCACTGATGATTCTGATACTTTATCTTCCCCTCTCCCCTCAAGAGTTTTTGGCCTGGCTTAGCCATCTATCTGTAAAATATTCACCTAACTTGTATCACGGAAGATTTAACTGAAAACTTTATATATTTTTTTGAGATAGAGTCTCACTCTGTTGCCCAGGCTGGAGTGCAGTGGCACGATCTTGGCTCACTGCAACCTCCGCCTCCCAGGTTCAAGCAATCCTCCTGCCTCAGCCTCCCGAAGAGCTGGGATTACAGGCATGCGCCACCACACCCGGCTAATTTTTGTAGTTTTAATAGAGACAGGGTTTCACCATGTTGGCTGGGCTGGTCTCAAACTCCTGACCTCAGGTGATCCACCCACCTCGGCCTCCCAAAGTGCTGGGATTACAGGGGTGAGCTACCATGCCCAGCCTGAAAATTTTCAAAATCTGAAATTCTTGTTTCCCTTTTGATCAAATCATTTAAATTTCTCCCCTCTGTAAAATGAAGATGTTAGATTGTTAGATCTAAAATTTGAAATTCCACATCATTGTGAAACTCCAGTCCTGTGAAAGGATTCAGAGTATTTTCTCTATGGATTATGGGTTAATGGCATCGTCTTCCTATGTAAGGAGTGGCTGGTATATTGAGAAATAGGTGTGATACAAAATTTCAGTTTTTCTTCTTTATACTTTAATGAATTGCCAGATTATTTTAACAGTGAGCACATGTTTTTATACATGTACATTTTTAATGTCTATTTTTATTGTGAAAGAAGTAGATAAGCTATTTCCACTTCGGAAAAACAAGAGCAAAAAATAAATAAACCAGTCTGAAAACTATGGGTGGTAGCAGGAAACAGCCACTTCCAGTCAGCTGTGCTGCCACTGTGGTGATCAAAGCGGACTTTGTGTTCCAGAATTCCAGTTTTAAGACTTTAAACAGGCCAGGCATGGTGGCTCACTCCTGTAATCCCAGCACTTTGGGAGGCTGAGGCAGGTGGATCACCTGAGGTCAGGAGTTTGAGACTAGCCTGGCCAACATGGTGAAACCCTGTCTCTACTAAAATACAAAAATTAGCCGGGCGTGGTGGCGGGCACCTGTAATCCCAGCTACTGTGGAGACTGAGGCACGAAAATCGCTTGAACCCGGGAGGTGGAGGTTGCAGTGAGCCGAGATTGTGCCACTGCACTCCATCCTGGGTGACAGAGCAGGCTTTGTCTCAAAAAAAAAAAAAAAGAAAAGAAAAACTTTATAAACATAAGTAGTCCATTATTGATATTGTGTATGGGAAATAAGTGAGTTCCTATGACTTGTACCTTCAATTTTGTAAATGATTTTCAAAATTATTTCTGCAAATTACGTAGGCATAGTTTTTATTTTTTAAAAAATGAGCAGTAATATATAGTCACTCTTAATAGAACTTATTTGTATTCTCTCTCTCTTTCCCCGTAAGAAACAAAAACGAAACAAGAAAATGTCATTCTCCATACCCAACCAGCTTTATTATCTTTGAGGAAGGAGCATTGAATTTTATGTCTGCTAAGGATACATATGTAGTCATTTTCTCTCTCACCTTTTAGGGAATATCCACCTATCACTTCAGATCAACAAAGACAACTGTACAAGAGGAATTTTGACACTGGCCTACAGGAATACAAGAGCTTACAATCAGAACTTGATGAGATCAATAAAGAACTCTCCCGTTTGGATAAAGAATTGGATGACTATAGAGAAGAAAGTGAAGAGTACATGGTAAATTCAACCTGATATTTATATATTAAACAGAATTTGAATCTAATCTGTGGAGGTACAGCATCCTTTATATTAATGTTGATAAAAATGTGCTAGTAGTTATCAAACTGCAGTTTCATTGAAGAATAGTTGAGATTGGGTTTTGGATGAAATTCTTTCCTAATAGAAGATTGTACTAATGTATAATAGTTAATAATTACAAAGCACTATTCTGTTTTTTTTTTTTTTTTTTGAGGTGGAGTCTCGTTCTGTTGCCCAGGCTGGAGTGCAGTGGCGTGATCTCAGCTAACTGCAAGCTCTGCCTCCCGGGTTCACGCCATTCTCCTGACTCAGCCTCCCAAGTAGCTGGGATTACAGGTGTCCGCCACCACGCCCGGCTAATTTTTTGTATTTTTTTTTTTTTTAGTAGAGACGGGGTTTCACCATGTTAGCCAGGATGGTCTCGATCTCCTGACCTCGTGATCTGCCCGTCTTAGCCTCCCAAAGTGCTGGGATTACAGGCGTGAGCCACCGCGCCCAGCCCCTACAAAGCACTATTCTATGTACATCTATCCTTTCCTATTTAAAATAAAATAGCCAGGCTGGGCATGGTGGCTCATGGCTATAATCCCCACACTTTGAGAGGCCAAGGCAAGTGGATCACCTGAGGTCAGGAGTTAGAGAATAGCGTGCCTAACATGGTGAAACCCCATCTCTACTAAAAATACAAAAAATAGCAGGGCATGGTGGCAGACACCTGTAATCCCAGCTACTCGGGGAGGCTGAGACAGGAGAATTGCTTGAACCCGGGATGGGGGAGGTTGCAGTGAGCCAAGATTGCGCCATTGCACTCCAGCCTGGGCGACAGAGTGAGACTCCATCTCAAAAATTAATAATAATAATAATAAAATAGCCTTATTATCTTTCCTATTTATAAAGCCATTCATTCTTTCTGTAGAAAAGAACTTAAGCGGCCGGGCACGGTGGCTAATGCCTGTAATCCCAGCACTTTGGGAGGCCGAGGTGGGTGGATCATGAGGTCAGGAGATCGAGACCATCCTGGCTAACACAGTGAAACCCCGTCTCTACTAAAAAAAAAAAAAAAATACAAAAAATTAGCCAGGTATGGTGGCGGGTACTTGTAGTCCCAGCTACTTGGGAGGCTGAGGCAGGAGAATGGTGTGAATCCAGGAGGCGGAGCTTGCAGTGAGCCAAGATCGCGCCACTGCACTCCAGCCTGAGTGACAGAGTGAGACTCCATCTCAAAAAAAAAAAAAAAAAAAAAAAGAACTTAACACAGAACTGTATACAGAAAAAGAAATCATCTTAAATCCTACCATCAAGAAATCCTTATCACCAAAATATTAGTTAAAACAATCTCTCCAAGCAGGAGTCACCAAGGCACATACACCTTTCTTTAAGGAAACATCATCTTCCATGTTTCACTTATTTTCTTCCTGTCTTTTAAATCAACAGTTTATGGGTTTTTTTTTTCCCTCCCTTGATCACCTGGCTGAGATAGAATTTGTCCATGTAAAGTTACTGGATTTTTTTTTCAATCCATCCTTTTCATACTGTATTTTGTATACATACTGAAATTAATGTAGTTACACCACCTTTTAGAGGGAGATTAATCTCTTCTTGTTAATTTGTTCCTTTATTGATCAGTCAATCACTTACGTAAGTATGGACTTTACAGATACCTGTTTTATACTGTGAATTATAATCCAAGGCTGCTTTATTTTGTAGCTCTAATTGTTCTCGCTTTGACCGTTGGGAACTTTCAGTTGCTTCCCGTGTCCCTTTGACATACTCTTATTGTGGGGTTTTATCTTTAAAAAAAAAAACAAACAAAAAAACTTCCTTGCACTGCTTATTTCTGTCTTTTCTTAACAGCAAGTTTTTTTTTTTATATCAATAATAAAGACCTACTTACTTTTAAGTTTTTTATGTGTAAAATTAGGTAAACAACTTTCAAATTTATGGTTGTATCATAATTTAAGAGTCATTTTCTATGGATAGACATTTAAGTATGTCTCCCCCTACTCCAGTAGTACCAGTATATACTGGTGAACCTCTCTGTTTTTGCACTCTTGTCTACTTATCTAATTTTTTTTTTTTTTTTTTTTTTTGAGACGGAGTCTTGCTCTGTCGCCCAGGCTGGAGTGCAGTGGCGCTATCTTGGCTCACTGCAACCTTCGCCTCCTAGGTTCAAGTGATTCTCCCGCCTCAGCCTCCCGAGTAGCTGGGATTACAGGCATGTGGCACCACACCTGACTAATTTTTGTATTTTTAGTAGAGACGGGGTTTTGCCATGTTGGTCAGGCTAGCCTCGAACTCCTGACCTCAGGTGATCTGCCTGCCTCGGCCTCCCAAAGTGCTGGAATTACGTGTGTGAGCCACAGCGCCCAGCCTGCTTATCTAACTAAAACTAATTCCAGAATGTGAAATTGCTGAGAGTCAGAGGGTACGTACCTTTGCAAAGTTGCAAAATTGCCCTCCAGAGAGACTGCACCAACTGTGTCTCCCTCTTGATACAATACAGGACTCATTTGATGCACATCTCATTAAATATTCTGCCATTTTTCAGTTGAGGTGATCTACTTTTTAGTTTTGACGTATTCACATCTTTATATAGTTAGATTTATGTATTTCTTTTATGGTTTCTATAGGGTGTTATAGATCTTTCTTAATTTAGTGAACATTTATTGATCACTTATTTTTCTTTGATGATGTGGAAATGCTGGAGCTAGAGACATAAAATCTTGTCCCCACCCTAAAAGAGCTTATATTTTAAGAAAAAAAACCTGACATCTAAACAATTTAGACAGTATGATTAATGCTGTATTTGCATCATGTGTAGAAAGCACTATAACTAACTGCTCATAGAAGAAATAAAGTCTTTGGAGGCTTCACAGTGAGGGAATCGTTAAGAGCTTTCCAGACAGAAGGGTGCGGGGAGGTGCATGATTACAGCCATAAGGAAAACATGATTGAAATCCTGAAGCATTTAACATGTCTCAGTTTTTAAAGGAGTTGCTGATGATGGGTACTGAGACTGGAAAGGTAGGAAACTGGATGAGGGGAGAAGTTAATGGGAAGCTCAGACCAGTTGTGTAGTGGGATATTACCTGATCAGCGAGCGCTCTGTGTTATAAAAGATCTTCCTGGTGTCAGTGTAGCATGGGGACTGGCATGAGGAGAGATGAGAAGTAGCAGAACAGATAGTTACCTGCCTATGTGAGTGAAATGTGAAAGATACAGTATCATAAATGTCTCTTCACTGAATTCCTTCAGACCTTCCTGCTGATCATGAGTTTTAAGAGCTTTACGACTTCATTCTTTTAATTGCTTATATTTTTGTCATAAGCTGTCATTTTTAGCTCCAAAGTATAACATCAGGAATGTTACTTTTAAAAGAGAAAATGCCCCAGTAAACATATTCCTTTGTGTCTGTCGTTAATAGGCTGCTGCTGATGAATACAATAGACTGAAGCAAGTGAAGGGAGTAAGTATCCGAGATTGTTCTTTTAGGAAGAACTTTCTTTCTTCTTCTTTTTATTTTAATTCCCATACCTACTCATCTGGAGGAAGAGCTTTTCTATTACATGTTTTTCATTTTTTATTTTATATATTTTTTAAAAGTTGAAGTATACATACAGAAAAGTGTATAAATCAAAGTGTATAACATGGTGAATTTTCACAATGTGACCACATACCTGCGTATGCAGATCAAGAAATATATTTCCCAGTACCTCCCCACCCCCAGCACCCCCACCCTCACTTGTACTACTTTCCAGTGTTTACACTCTCTCCAGAGGGGTCCATCATGCTCACTTCTAACATCATAGAGTTTTGTCTATCTTGCACATTACATAAATGGAACCACACAGTATGTATTTTGTGTGTGATTTCTTTTGCTCAGTATAGTGTTTGTAAGGGTCCATTTGTAGTTCATTACTATTATTTTTTTTAGACGGAGTCTTGCTCTGTTGCCCAGGATGGAGTGCAGTGGCGCAGTCTCAGCTCACTGCAACTTCCGCCTCCCAGGTTCAAGCAATTCTCCTGCCTCAGCCTAGCTGGGATTGCAAGCACGCACCACCATGCCTGGCTAATTTTTGTATTTTTAGTAAAGACATGGTTTCACCACATTGGCCAGGCTGGTCTTGAACTCCCAACCTCAGGTGATCCCCCTGCCTTGGCCTCACAAAGTGCTGGGATTACATGCATGAGCCACCATGCCCGGCCATGGTTCATTAATTTTTTTTTTTTTCCTGAGACAGTGTCTCGCTCTGTCGCCCAGGCTGGAGTGCAGTGGCACAATCTCGGCTCACTGCAACCTCTGCCTCCTGGGTTCAAGCAATTCTCCTGCCTCAGCCTCCCGAGCCACTGGGATTACAGGCAAGCACCACCACACCTGGCTAATTTTCCTATTTTTAGTAGAGATGGGGTTTTACCATGTTGGCCAGGCAGGTCTCAAATTCCTGGCCTCAAGTGATCCACCTGCCTCGGCCTCCGAAAGTGCTGGGATTACAGGCGTGAGCCACCACGCCTGGCCGGTTGATTAATTTTTATTGCTTTGTAGTGTTGTATATAAAATGCAACTTTATTCATCCATTCTATTGTCAATGAACGTTTGGGTTGTTCCCAATTTTTGGCATTTAAAAATATTGCAGCTTCATACATATTTGTAAATGTTTGAGCGTAGAAGTGATGGGCATTTGTCTATCCAGCCTTAGTAGATACTGTCAAATGGCCTTCCAAAGTACTTGTACCAGTTTACATTCCCACCAACCACTACAGACTCCTGTTGCCCTATATCCTTGCTAACACTTGGCATGACAGTCATTATTGACTTAAAACATTAAAAAAAAATTATATTAAAATTTTTGTAAATTACTTATCCAGGTGCTGTGGTTACATGCCTGTAGTCCTAGCTACTAGGGAGACTGAGGCAAAAGGATCCCTTGAACCCAGGAGTTCAAAGCTGCAGGGAGCTATAATTGTACCACTTCACTCCAGCCTGGGCAATAGGATGAGACCCTTTCTAAAATAAGAAAAAAAAATTATAAATTACAGGCATCATGATTTGAAATAAGAGTTTAAAGGGTATACAGTAAAATTTCCCATCTCTCTTATCCCCTATTCAGCTTCCCTTTCCCCAGTCAAATGAGATCACCAGTCTCTTGTTTTACTTACAGTTTTAGATGATGTGTTAGCAAAAAGGCTGGTAAGTTTTCTTGGTCATTTTACAGATTTTTAGAAATGAGGGTATCCTTTGGAAAAACCCAGGTTAGAAGACAGAACTGAGCAAATAGAATCAGCTGCCTGTGTGGTTAGTGATACTGCCAGGCACCTTGCGTATTTTACTTCAATTAACACTCCCAGCAATTCTCTTGACTAAATATTCCATTTCTGTGTTCAATTCTGCCTTCCCAGCAGACCTGTTTTCATTTTGTTGAATTTATGTGATTCATTTTCTCCCTTTTTAGTCTGCAGATTACAAAAGTAAGAAGAATCATTGCAAGCAGTTAAAGAGCAAATTGTCACACATCAAGAAGATGGTTGGAGACTATGATAGACAGAAAACATAGAAGGCTGATGCCAAGTTGTTTGAGAAATTAAGTATCTGACATCTCTGCAATCTTCTCAGAAGGCAAATGACTTTGGACCATAACCCCGGAAGCCAAACCTCTGTGAGCATCACAAAGTTTTGGTTGCTTTAACATCATCAGTATTGAAGCATTTTATAAATCGCTTTTGATAATCAACTGGGCTGAACACTCCAATTAAGGATTTTATGCTTTAAACATTGGTTCTTGTATTAAGAATGAAATACTGTTTGAGGTTTTTAAGCCTTAAAGGAAGGTTCTGGTGTGAACTAAACTTTCACACCCCAGACGATGTCTTCATACCTACATGTATTTGTTTGCATAGGTGATCTCATTTAATCCTCTCAACCACCTTTCAGATAACTGTTATTTATAATCACTTTTTTCCACATAAGGAAACTGGGTTCCTGCAATGAAGTCTCTGAAGTGAAACTGCTTGTTTCCTAGCACACACTTTTGGTTAAGTCTGTTTTATGACTTCATTAATAATAAATTCCCTGGCCTTTCATATTTTAGCTACTATATATGTGATGATCTACCAGCCTCCCTATTTTTTTTCTGTTATATAAATGGTTAAAAGAGGTTTTTCTTAAATAATAAAGATCATGTAAAAGTAACAAATGTGTGAAATTTAAAGATTGTAAATATATATTTACTTTTTTAAGATCAAAGTTTAAACCCCGTGGTTAGAATTTTGTGTGTTTTTAAATACTTTTTATCTTTTTGCATGCCTTTTTTAAAAAACCAACTAGAACTTTTCATTATATCAGAATATCTGATTACATTTATAATTCAATTGTGACTTGAACTGTATCTTACAGGAATGTTCAATTTCTATACATATTTTATAAGGTATTAAACCTGGTGTTTTCTTTCCATAATAACCTGTTTGATGTTATTAGTGCTGTTAACATACAGCAATGGAAAACCACACTCAGGAGTTGTATCTGTTGTTGTTTATACTCCTTTGGATGCTGTGCTGGTTAGTCGTTTCCCATTCCTTTGGCTGTAAGAATGCTGATATGTCTGGGAATAGAATGCTATACCACGAAATACCAAATAATTTCAAATGGTGCCCTTAAATTGTATCACTTTTTTAAAAATTCAGATTCTTATTAGTAAAATTAGTTGATAGCACTGTGCTGACCAAGTTGATTGTGATCATCCCAGCTTAGACTTTTCTAAAAACTTTTTTTTAGAATAATCTATAAACTGAACTTTAGTATGCATTTCAGATATTTAGGTATATAATTTTTTTTTTTTTTTGAGACAGAGTCTCACTCTCACCCAGGCTGGAATGCAGTGGTGCTATCTTGGCTCACTGCAACCTCCACCTCCCGGGTTCAAGCAATTCTCCTGCCTCAGCCTCTCGAGTAGTTGAGACTACAGGTGCCCATCACCATGCCTGGCTAATTTTTGTATTTTTAATAGAGACGGGGTTTTACCATATTGGCCAGGTTGGTCTTGAACTCCTGACCTTGTGGTCTGCCTGCCTCGGCCTCCCAAAGTGCTGGGATTACAGGCGTGAGCCACCATGCCTGGCCTAAGTGTGTGTGTGTGTGTGTGTGTATTTTTTTTTTTTTTTTTTTGAGATGGAGTTTTGCTCTTGTTGAACAGGCTGGAGTGCAATGTCGCGATCTCAGCTCACCACAACCTCCGCCTCCCAGGTTCAAACAATTCTCCTGCCTCGGCCTCCCGAGTAGCTGGGATTACAGGCATGCGCCACCACACCTGGCTAATTTTTTTTTTGTATTTTTAGTAGAGATGGGGTTTCTCCATGTTGGTCAGGCTGGTCTCGAACTCCTGACCTCAGGTGATCCATCCACCTCGGCCTCCCAAAGTGCTGGGATTAGAGGCGTGAGCCACTGTGCCCGGCCTATAATTTTTGATAGATGATTTTGAATTATTTTCCAGAGATAAAATTTTAAATGTTTCCATTATATCACTGATTTATTTCTGCAAATTGAATAAATTCTTAATTTTCTGCATGCACATAATACAAAAGGTATTTTCATAGTTTTGAATTTATACCAAATGAAAAGGATTCTCTTGATGAGCACCTTTAACTGATTTTTCTGTTAAAGTTTTAACAATTTGTTCTTGGAAGTCAGTTCGTGAAGGCAAGTTTGTCAGTATTTTCACAAAACTATTCAGCTGAATCCAGAAAGTGAAACAGCAAGAATTTGCATTGTAAAATTGTGTTATAAAATTGGACTTTGAAATTTCAAAAATAAGAAAAATTTTCATGTGTATTTATACTAAATACCGTTTTAGGAAACTAGGATCAGGGTGTTTCTGTTGGCGTTGGCATTAACTAGCTGGATGTAAATTTGAAAAGCCACTCAAGCAGCTTCCTAGTCTAGAAAGTCAGAGGTTTAGATTAGATTTCCGACATCCCTTCCATTTCTGACCTGTAGTTCTTGTCTGGAATTCTGCTTTGTTATAAACTATTGTTCTAAGGAGTTTGTTGTGATAGCACATAGTTCATTTTGTAAAGATTCCCTGCGTATAAAGTGATGCCCTACATATGTGATTTTGTATTAAAAGTATATAGGATCATTATTTTATTTTGAAAAATTTAAATACAGAAAAGTATAAAATATAAGTACCATCCGCCCAGAAATAACATGTGTTAATGTTTTGTCATATGTGCTTTATATTTTTTGAAATAAAGTGAAGTCAACTAGTATTTATAGTAAATAAGTTACATACACATAAGTACATATATAATATTTAATCCTCACAACGATCTTTTGACATGTGACCATTTCTTATTCTTCTTTTATAGACAAGGAACTAATGATATGATAGATTAACTGGCTGTTGTCACACTAGCAAGTGGCAAAACAAGGGATTAGGATCTTAGTCTCTTCAACTGTTAGATTCTATACTTCCATCCTGTGTTGACTTTGTTAATGGATTGGATAATGTGAGATCACTCTGATGTAAATAAAGTATCCTATATTAATTTCGAGTGCATTTTAAGTACTTGTAACATAAATGCTTCCTGTGAAACATCTGTAAAGACCTGAATGGGTACATGTGTGTAAAGAAGAATCAGGGCAGAAAAGTGCTTTTATCATGGCTCCGGGGACCTTAGCTTCAGTTGGTGTTGTGAGAATTCCTCACACAAGGACATTCTCCTTGCTTCAGCATCAGGATGGAAGTGTTTCTCATCTGGACTTTTTCAAAGACTCAGCTGGAGGAATCAGAATTCATAATTTCCTGGCAGCTCATGATTCTGCTACACTACACCATGCCATCTCTTGTGTGAAAGGACAGATTTGATGGAGGACTATGTCATCCCTCATGCGTTTCTTATTGTCTACATTTATTCTAATGGGAAGAAGTGAGCAAAAACACCTCAATAATTTGGGTAGTTTTTAGAAAACCTTGTTAGTAAATTAGAATAGTGCCACTTTGGCATTATGAGAAAGAAGCATGGATACATAACTAGGGTTTTGTGTATGACTACAACGAAATGCAGAATGGTGTCTCCAAAAGGTTTCCAGTTGCTGCCACAAGAACTGCTTGGTATTGCCTACATGTGTTGTCCTATTTTTGCTTTGCCCTTCTGCAGTTACTTGCTGTGGGACCTTGGAGAAATTAACTTAGCCTCTCTGTACTTCAGTTTTTTGTATTTGTAAAAATATATTTGTAATAATCTCATAGTTAAGAAGGTAGTTAATGTGTGACTCAGTCCTTGTCTAAAAGTAAATATGCCTAGCTACCCCCATCTTCCAAAGCCAGAAGGTGAAACTTTAACAAGTTTTCTAAAAGCAAATTGTGTTTTTTAAAAGTGCATGTGTCATCCAATCCCATATGATTGATCTGTGCTGGGTGCAGCCTTAGAATGTAAATTCTTTTGAATTCTAGGCAGAGAATGCAGGATTGGCATTCTAAATATTTGTACATGATAAACAAATGCTTCTTTAGGTTACAGCAAATAGTTTACTTATCAAGATCACGATTGTTAGATACTGTTGTCAATTACAGAGGTTTTAGATGAGGCTTTCTGGAATGATTTAGTTTCCCTGTAAGGGAGCCTGTCTATTGGAATAGACAGGTTCACTTCTCCCAGTCTTTCAAGTTGCATGCTTTTTATATCTGATTCCACTGGCTGAGCTGATTGTGAATGTCCTAACCCTGTTGATAGTGTCTGGCCACTCATGGGCAAAGAACAGATTATCCATTCTTTATAGTTGTCTTTTAGTTTTACAAGTTGAAAAAACATCTGAGTAGGTTAGATAATTTATTCTACCACTTTGTAAATGATTAGAATATGTCAGTCATAATCATGCCAAGAGATTATGGATTTATGCATATTTTGTTTTGCTGTAGTACCATTCCTAGTTGAATCTTAACATCCATGTCTAAAATCTATACAGAACAAATATTACAGTTGGGAAAACTGTTTCAGTCTCCTCTCTTCGCAAATATGCTTTATATTTATTGGGGAGTCCTCTATCTTTTTCCTGGTTTTCCTTAAAGCCTTCCCAGGCTGATGGATAACAAACATATGAAAGAAACTTGGGGCTTGGGATTCCTCTAGGCTGTTTGTCCTAGAGGAATGCATCCCGTCTTGCAAATAGGATGGTCAATTAAGATGGAAGGAAGCAAAAGTGTGGATAGGAAGGAAGGGCACAAAAGGAAAAGTGTGGAATTTGTGTGTGAGTCCTCTAATGAGGTCAAAGGTGGGAGGGAGGCAAGCATGGAAGCTTCCTGGCACTGCGATACTAATTTCCCCTCCTCTCCCTTTTAAAATCCTGTCTTCTGGGAGGAAATGAGACTGATTATGGAGTTCCCACTAAGCCCTGCAGGGTTGGTGGAGACAACCCCATTTTACACATTAGTTCATAGACTTGGGTTGTGACTTGCTTGAGGTCACCCAGCCAGTGTGTCAGAGCCTGATTTTAAATCCAGGGCTGTTCTTTCCACTGCTATGCAAGATACCTTCTGTTTATATTTTTGAGGGAGACAACAGAGATGGGAAAAATTTTTAACAATAAAATAAAGGCAATGGAGGGGATGAGTATGCTGATGGGGAAGGAAAGAGGCCCTAGCTTCTGCAGTTCCTTTGTGTTATTCCTAACCCTTTTCTCATCTGGGGGTGCACTGCCTCTCCATTTCTCAAGTATGGGAAATGCCAGTAATTCCACTTGTGTTAATTGGCAGTCATACAACTTGTCCAAAACTGAATTGATCTTACCCACCCCGCCAACATTTTAATAATTGCAACCCCAACCTTTCAGTTGCTCAGCTAAAGACTATGGAGGTATCCTTGATTCTTTTCTCATAACACACATCCAGTGTATTGGTAAGATTTAGAATTCAGTCACTTCTCACCAGCTGCTGGTCCAAGCCATCACAATTCCCCCAAAGTTCTTAACAGTGCTCACAGCCTCTCCTCCCCACCTTACCCTTCTGATTGCAGCTTCCACCACTCATCCCCTGCTCACTCCTGCAGTCGTCAAAGACCCCAATGCACTTCTACCTCAGGGCCTTTGCACTTGCAGCTCTCTTTGTCTGAAGAGCTTTTCCCCTAGGTATCAGCAGGGTTAACACCCTTCCTCATTCAGGTCATGGCTTAACTGTCTTCCCAGCGAGGACTCCTCTGGCCACCCTATTTTATTTTTTGAGATGAAGTCTCTGTCACCCAGGCTGGAGTGCAAGGTTGGCTCACTGCAACCTGTGCCTCCTGGATTCAAGCGATTCTCCTGCCTCAGCCTCCCGAGTAGCTGGGATTACAGGCGCCTGCCAGCACGCCCGGCTAATGTTTTTGTATTTTTAGTAGAGACGGAATTCACTATGTTGGCCAGGCTGGTCTCGAAGTCCTGCCCTCCGATGATCCACCCCCGCTCGGCCTCCCAAATCACCATGCCTGGGATTACAGGCGTGAACCATCGCACCCGGCCTGGCCACCCTATTTTAAACTGCAAACTTCTCCCCTTCAGTGCTTAGTTTTTCTCCACAGCATTATCACCATTTCATATAGTATATGTTTTTCTTCATACTGACTCCCCTTGGAGAAGGAAAACTCCACGAGAGCAAGGATTTTTGTCAGTTTTTCATTGTTATTTCCTCAGTGCTTAGACATGCATCAGGCTCAAAGTAGATGCTCAATGTTTGTTGAATGAACAGCAAGAGCAATGGAGGAGTCCTGAAATACACAGCAAGAAGCAAGGATAATTCTGGCTTTACTTCTGTGGCCAGGGTCCTTCATCCCAACCTTTTAGAAGTAGAAAGACAAGATCGAGCTCCTCAGAACCCAGGTCGATGGCTGCAGAGCCTTCGACCTTCCGAGAGCGAATGGCGATCACTCTTTCCGGTTCTCTGCGAATTCCAGCTGGAACACCGTCCCTTTCCGCGCCCCAACTCAGCGGAGGCCATGCCCTGCACCTGAGCGCCCCGCTCCGGCAGCTGCACTCTGCAGCATCCGGAACGTTTCGGCGTGGCCGCAGGGCGCGGCGGAATGACTTCCGGGGCGCCCCTAAAGCGGCGGAGAGGAGTGTCGGGCTGAGTTTCCGGCTGAGAGTCCTTCTAGCGGCGCCGGTGAGTCCGCGTGTGGAAGTCTGTGAGGCGCAGAGGTGGGGCAGGCCGTCTGACTAGCTAGGCGGCTGGGAGCGTTTTCGTGGCGGGGAACGGAGGTTGAATTGCCCTGCCTGGGCTCATAGGGAAGGAGGATGTGAAGGAGCTTGTGAAGGCAGAGGAAGGTAACTTTCGTCTGGGGAGCCGCAGAGTAGGGAGGGAAGCTGCAGGCCGTCTCTCCCTAAGTAAAAGCGCGACTTTTAGAAATGATGGTTCAGGGTTCGAGTTTGTGACCCGCTTGAGAAAGTGACCAACCTCTGAGCCTGAATCCCATACCTGAAAAACAAGGACAGTAATCACCCTTGCCAGTTTCACATAGCTTGGTAAGGTGTGAAGAAAAGCTTCTTAAATTGGGATGTTTGGTGCTCTCATTTGTTGGCAGATAGCATTCCGAGCTCATGTAACGGGAATCACACCAGTAGGCTTATGCTGAGGAACGTGGATTGTTTGGGGTTGGATTCCAGGAAACAGATCACTTAAAAAAATTTTTTTTTCTTCGAGACGGAGTCTCGCCCTGTCGCCAGGCTGGAGTGCAGCGGCGCGATCTCGGCTCACTGCAACCTCCACCTCCCGAGTTCAAGCGATTCTCCTTCCTCAGCCTCCCGAGTAGCTGGAACTACAGGCGCGTGCCACCACGCCCAGCTAATTTTTGTATTTTCAGTAGAGACGGGGTTTCACCATGTTGGCTAGGATGGTCTTGATTTCTTGACCTCGTGATCCTCCCGCCTCGGCCTCCCACAGTGCTGGGATTACAGGTGTGAGCCACCCACCTGGCCTCGGTGATATTTTTAAGAAGAAAATGGACTGTTGGGAAGTGACAGGCCATTGGAGATCTTTACAAAGTCCATCTTCAGGATGCATGAATCCTTTAAACAGCATGCATGTTTACAATCAGACTTCCCATTGAACGTCTGCAGTTTTAGGGACCTTAATACCTCCTGTCCAGTCGGATTTCCCATTGCAGGCAGCTCTAATTAAGAAGTCCTTTTAGCCGGGCGTGGTGACTCATGCCTGTAATCCCAACACTTTGGAGGACCGAGGTGGGCGGACCAGTTGTGGTCAGGAATTCGAGACCAGGCCTGGCCAACAGGCTGGTGAAACCCCGTCTCTACTAAAAATAAAAAGGTTAGCTGTGGTGGCGTGTGCCTTAATCTCAGCTATTCGGGAGACAGAAGAGACAGTAGAATCGCTTGAACCCTGGAGGCGGAGGTTGCAGTGAGCCGAGATTGCGTCACTGCACTCCAAGCTTGGGCGACAGAGCAAGACTCTTGTCTCAAAAAAAAAAAAAAAAGAATTCCTTTGATATGGTCAGCCAAAAGTCTCTCAGTTGCTATTTACTTTTATATTTATAATATTTATTATATATTTGTAATTATTTTATTTATTTTGAGATAGGGTCTCACTCTGTCACCCAGTCTGGAGTGCAGTAGTGAACATAGTAGCCTCGACTCTCCTGGGCTCAAGCCATCCTCCCACTTTTGCTTCCCAAGTAGCTGGGACTCAAGTACTCGCCACCTCGCCCAGCTAATTTTTTGATGTTTTGTAGAGACAAGGTTATTGCCCAGGCTGATCTGAGCGCCTGAACTCAAGCAATCCTTTTGCCTTGGCCTCTCAAAGTGCTGGGATTACAGGTTTGAGCCACTGTGCCCTGCGAAGAATTTGAGTTTAAAAACGTTGAGAACGTTATGCGAGTTTTTCATTTTTAAAGTTCACAATACGTAACAGAAAACAGGGAGGAGCAAAATGTTCAGTTGAGGCTGGGTGTGGTGACTCACGCCTGTAATCCCAGCACTTTGGGAGGCCGAGGTGAGTGGGTCACCTGAGGTCAGGAGTTCGAGACCAGCCTGGCCACCATGGCAAAACCCCATTTCTACTAAAAACACAAAAGTTAGCCAGGTGTGGTGGTGGGCTCTTGTAATCCCAGCTACTCGGGAGGCTGAGGCAGGAGGATCACTTGAACTCGGAGGCGGAGGTTGCAGTGAGCCGAGATCGCGCCATTGCACTCCAGCCTGGGTGGTGAGTGAAACTCCGCCTTAAAACAAAAAAAGAAACAAAAATATTCTGTTTACAGGCAGATCACTTGAGGTCAGGAGTTTGAGATCAGCCTGGCAAGTCAGGCGAAACCCTGGCTCTACAAAAATATAAAACATGGCAAAACCCTGACTGTACTAAAAATACAAAAATTAGCTGGGCATGGTGGCACGCGCCTGCAATCCCAGCTCCTTGGGAGGCTGAGACAGGAGAATCACTTGAACCCGGGAGGTGGAGGTTGCAGTGAGCCACGAGGTGGTGGAGTTGGGAGGGAGATTGCATTGGGGAGGATGGAGGTGTGATGAGGACATTTATTTGTGCATGAATGAATGAATGACAGAGTCTCGCTCTCTCACCCAGGCTGGAGTGCAGTGGCACAACCTTGGCTCGCTCCAGTGTCTACCTCCCAGGTTCAAGTGATTCTCCTGCCTCAGCCTCCCGAGTAGCTGGGATTACAGGTGTGCACCACTAGGCCCTGCTGATTTTTGTATTTCTAGTGGAGACGGCATTTCACTATGTTGGCCAGCCTGGTCTTGAACTCCTGACCTGAAATGATCTGCTGGCCTCGGCCTCCCAAAGTGCTGGGATTACAGGATGAGCCACCGTGCCCGTTTCTCTCTCTCTCTTTCTTTCCTTTCTTTTCTTTCTTTTTTGAGGCAGGGTCTCATTCTGTTGCCCAGGCTGGAGTGCAGTGACCTGATCTCGGCTCACTGCAGCCTCCGTGCCTCCTGGGTTCAAGCAGTCCTCTTGTCTCAGCCTCCCCAGTAGCTGGGATTACAGGGGCCCGCTCCCACCAACCTCCTAGCTAATTTTCAAACTCCTGACCTCAAGTGATCACCTGCTTTAGTCTCCCAAAGTGCTAGAATTACAGATGTCAGCCATCATACCCGGCCTGGTTTTTTTTTTTGTTTTTTTTTTTGAGACGGAGTCTTGCTCTGTCACCCAGGCTGGAGTGAAGTGGTGTGACCTTGGCTCATTGCAGCTTCTGCCCTCCAGGTTCAAGGAATTCTCCTGCCTCAGCCTCCCTAGTAGCTGGGATTACAGGCACCTGCCACCATGCCCAACTAATTTATGTATTTTTAGTAGAGACGGGTGTTGCCATGTTGGCCTGACTGGTCTCGAACTCCTGACCTCAGGTGATCCGCACCTTGTCCTCTCAAAAGTGCAGGGATTACAGGGATGGAGCCACTGCACCTGGCCCTGGCCTGTGTTTGTTTGTTTTGTTTTGTTTTCAACTTTTATTTTCACAGAGTACGTGTGCATGTTGGTTACATGGATAAATTGCTTGTTGTTGAGGTTTGGTATACAAATGATCCCGTCACCCTGGTAGTGAACATAGTACCTGATAGGCAGTTTTTCAACCCTCACTCTTTCCCATCCTTCCCTGTCTAATAGTCTCCAATGTCTGTTGTTCTCATCGTTATGTCCACGTGTACTCAGTGTTTAGTTTCCACTCGTAAATGAGAACATGCCGTCTTTGGTTTTCTGTTGCTGTTTTTTTTAGGCCAGAGTGCAGTGGCACGATCTCGGCTCACTGCAACCTCTCTGCCTTCCGGGTTCAAGCAATTCTCCTGCCTCAGCCTCCTGAGTAGATGGGATTACAGGTGCTCGCCACCACATCTGGCTAATTTTTTTCTATTTTTAGTAGAGACAGGGTTTCACCATGTTGGCCAGGCTGGTTTCAAACTCCTGACCTCAGGTGATCCACTTGCCTTGGCCTCCCAAGTGCTAGGATTACAGGCGTGAGCCATTGCGTTGGGCCTCTGTTCGTGTTAATTCGATGAGGATAATGGCCTCCAGCTGTATCCATGTTGCTGCAAAAGACAGGATTTCATTGTGTTTTTTTTTCGTTGTTTTTTTGGCTGCTAGTATTCCATGATATATTACGTACCACATTTTCTTTATCCAGTCCACCATTTATGAGCATCTAAGTTGATTTGATGTCTTTGCTATTTTGGATAGTGCTGTGATTAATATGAGTGCTCTTGTACTTTTGGTAGAATGGTTTTATTTTCCTTTGGGTTTATACCCAGTATTGGGATTGTTGGATCGACATACATGTGTCCAATAAATGTATGAAAAAATGTTCAACATCACTGATCATTAGAGAAATGCAAACCAAAACCACAATGTAAATCAAAACCACAAACCCATCTCACCACCAGTTAGAATGGATATTATTAAAAAGTCAAAAAATAACAGATGTTGGCAAGGTTGTGAAGAAAAGGGAATGCTTATCCACTGTTGGTAGGAATGTAAATTAGTTCAGCCACTATGGAAAGCAGTTTGGAGATGTCTCAAAGAACTATGTTTAATTTTGTGTCCTTTTTTTTTGAATTATGAGCTATAGCATTTACCCATTTATAAATAATAAATGTGATTTAAAAACTTTTGATTATGAGAAAATTGAGACATACACAGAGAGATAGTACAATGAATCACATGTCACTCAGCTATAATAGTTCAACTACGCCCATACTGACTCCTCACAAGTCTACAGTTTGTCATGTGACACATCTATAAAGCATTTTTGTTCTTTTACAAATTGTAAAAAGACACTTATTTTTATTGGTACCAAGTTTGTGTATAAGTTCATATTATTTCTTGGAAATGAGAAATGGAGTTCTATGAAGATTTTTAAGACAATTATTGAGTAAAATACAAAGAATAAGATGACCTGGCATTCCATTTTTTTTACTTTATATATGTGTCTAATTTTCAAATTTAATTGGATGAATTTTGTAACAAACATCTTTAGATAACTTACATTCTAATGGTTTTTACAGATTATTGAATAATAAAATACAGTTTTGAAAAAAATGGATGAAGAACCTGAAAGAACTAAGCGATGGGAAGGAGGCTATGAAAGAACATGGTAAGGAGAGCTTTATTGCCCTGTCTTTTCTTTTAGACAATGTCTTTTTTTTTCTTTACAACTTTATTAAAGTATATTTTACATATGTTAAAATTCACCCATTTCCAATGTACAATTCAGTGATGTTTTATTAATAATTTACTGAGCTGTGCAGCCATTATCATAAACCAGTTTTAGAATATTGTAACCACTCCAGTAAGATCCTTCACATTCATTTACAATTAATTTAAATCTTAATTTAATTCCACCTGTGGGCAATCATTAGTCTACTTTTTGTCTCCAAATTTTAACCTTTTCTGGACATTTCACAAAAATGTGATCATATACAATCATGTGCCACATAATGATGTTTTGGTCAAAGACAGACTGCATATATGACAATGGTCCCATAATATTATAATACTGTATTTTTACTCTACCTTTTCTATGTATGTTTAGATATACAAATACTGAACATTGTGTTACAGTTGTCTTAAGATATTCAGTATAGTAACGTGCTGTACAGGTTTGTAACCTAGGCGTGGGATAGGCTATACCATCTAGGTTTGTGTAAGTATACCCTGTGATATTCACACAATAATGAAATTGCCTAACAATGCATTTCTCAGAATGTATCCCTGTCAGTAAGCGATGCATGACTATAATAGTTGGTCTGTTGTGGCTGGCTTTCACTTATTTTTAAGACTCATCCATGTTGCAGTGTGTATTAATACTTCATTCCTTTTTTATTGCTGAATAGTATTCCCATCTATGGTTATGCCACATTATTGTTTATCCATTCACTAGTCTGTGGATATTTAGGTTCTTTACAGTTTTTGACTGTTAGGAAAATGCAGCCATGAACACTTACATGCAAATCTTTGTGTGGACATATATTTTCATTTCATTTGGGCTAGTAATCATTTTAGCTTGTCTTTTCAAACAAATAATTATGACTTATAGGGAGATTCTTAAAGAAGATGAATCTGGATCACTTAAAGCTACAATAGAAGACATTCTATTCAAGGCAAAGAGAAAAAGGTATGTAACCTTCCTACGTATCTTAAAAAGGTAAAATATATTCATTTTAAGCCTTTCTATCTATAAATACTCCTCAGTACTTCATTTTAGCTGTGTTTCAGGGAAACTGACCTATTGCCTTCTGACTATGGGGAAAGAACTAGCCACCTACCCTTGCCCCAGCAGGAAATGGTCTTTAGAGACTGTCTACAATACCTATAATTATGTGTATTGTATTCCATAAGTTAATTATTTACTCCACTAAAAATGCACGTTATGACATTCTTAATCAGAATTAGAAAAAAAGAAAAACAAAGGAGGTCAATTGGAAAGTTGTATTTTTTTTTTGTGGGGGGATAGTATATGGAATTACATTAAAATGTTTGTATAATTTTAACAGAGTATTTGAGCACCATGGACAAGTTCGACTTGGAATGGTATGTCATTATTTTTTCTTTTACTAGTACAGAACTAGTTTAGGTTAGAGAAACATTCTGTCTTGCTAGAAAAAACAATAGCAAAACAACAAAGTTTTTAAAAGAATATGTTAAAAATACGTGCATAGAATATGTAATTATTAAATGCCATTTTTACTAGTCAAAATGGCACTTGAGGCTGGGCACAGTGGCTCATGCCTATAATCCCAGCACTTTGGGAGGCCAAGGCAGGAGGATTGCTTGAGCCCAGGAGTTTGAGACCAACCTGGGCAACAGAACGAGACCCAGTTTCTACAAAACAAAACAAGTACTTGAAATTGGCCCTTTCTTTTTTCCGATAGATGCGCCACCTTTATGTGGTAGTAGATGGATCAAGAACAATGGAAGACCAAGATTTAAAGCCTAATAGACTGACGTGTACTTTAAAGGTAAAATTTAAGTTTATACTAAATCATTTAAATTTGTACCAAAATCACTTAAACTTTTACTAAAAAAGTGGGGAAGAACACTGGATTCTAAAGGATATTTTTAAAGAATGCAATATTTTTTATTTTTTGCCTTGTATTTTTAGTTAATGCTAATGATAGCTAAGTAGAAGTACTGCCAGGTTATTTAGGGAAATTTTAAACCAACATAGCTAATTATTTGTGTTTTTAATTTCTATCCTCCCACCCCACATCAGGATCTTGGTTTATCAGTTATCCCTTTTCTTTCTTGAATCTTCATTCTCCTTTGCCTTACTTAACTCTGTCTCCTCAGATTACAAATATGTTCGTATTCCTAATTTATCAAAACCTATTCTCAATTCTGCTCGTTCTCCCATCTCTCTTCATTGGATCTTTTCCTCATTGAAATTTCTTCTGACACATCCAAATGGTTCCATCTTTTAAAACCTAGCTCAAACCTATCTCATCACCCACCATTTCAAATTAACGTTTTTACTGTTTAATATTTTTATTACTTAACAGTTTTTGAAAATCTGTAAGTTTAAAAGTCATGAGAAGTGACGCTTGATTAACAGGTTTCACAAACATCAGTTGGACATGTTCTTTATGATTGTTATTTTGCCTTTATCTAGTATGTCTTTTTTTGTTTAAACAGTTGTTGGAATACTTTGTAGAGGAATATTTTGATCAAAATCCTATTAGTCAGGTACGTATCTAAGTGATAGAATTCAGAATTAGATTCCTATTTTGCTTCCAAATGTAATTTATTTTTAAAAATTGGACATGTATTTTGTGAATTACCCAAATTGTTTAACCAGTTTCTGGTATACTTAAAAATGAAAAGCGTAATAACTCTAAAAGTTAAACGTAATGTGAACTCATAGCTAAATTTATTTGCCAAAAACAGCATGAGAAAAAGTTTCTCACCTGTTGCTTCTTTCTTTTGTAATTACTAGTTTATTTTAGCTATATAAATTATTTTTTTTTCTGCTCCAATATCATCTACAGGAATAGTTATATATATTCTTAATGGGAGGAAATAACTTGTTATATTAATAATAATTTTTGTTTTTATTTCAAGATTGGAATAATTGTAACTAAGAGTAAAAGAGCTGAAAAATTGACTGAACTTTCAGGTATGCATAAAATTACCTTTACATGACTCAAGGACTTTGCTTTATTTACCCAACCTCGTAGCCCTGTTTATATGGCTGCTTAATAAGTAACGTGAAGGGTGGTTCCTCTGTCTTCTCTAGGTGAAACAATTTAATAACATCTCCCCCACCATTATATTCTTAGGATACAAGGTTAACTATTCTAAATTGAGTTCTGCATCATAGTGGTAAATAATACTACATTGAATATAAATGTTTTTATTTAAATTCTATATGTGCTTATCCTGAAATTTTTTTTTCTTTCCTTTTTTTTTTTTTTTTTTTTTTTTTGGAGATGGAGTCTTGCTCTGTCGCCAGGCTAGAGTGCAGTGGCACAATTTCGGATCACTGCAAAGTCCGCCTCACGGGTTCAAGCGATTCCCTGCCTCAGCCTCCTGAGTAGCTGGAACTACAGATGCCCGCCACCACGCCCTGCTAATTTTTTGTATTTTAGTAGATACGGGGTTTCACCATGTTGGCCAGTATGGTCTCAATCTCTTGACCTTGTGATCAGCCCGCCTCAGCCTCTCAAAGTGCTGGGATTACAGGCTTGAGCCACCGCATCCGGCCTTATCCTGAAAATATTAAAATACAGTTATTGTAATCATTTATAAAATCCAGTTAATCTTAAAATTAAATTCTTAAAAAGTTAAGCATCTAATTTAAAAGGGAAAAAGTATAAAAATTAAACTGTAGCTATTGCTAATGAATCAATTTTTCTGCTTCCATGACATACCTAACTGAATTTTAGTTTCAAAACGTAGTAATGGCATTTTTTATTTGCTTTGGTATATATGCTGTTACAAATTTGCATCACTGATTCTATTTTATTTTCTGTGAAATACACTCTCCCTTAAATCTGGTTTTCAACCTTTTATCCTTGCCGGCACACATAAGGGAAATGACATACTTTCTTCATTAGTAGTTTTTCATTAAATGCAGTGAGGAGTGAAATGTACATTGGCCTGGAGTGATTCAAGAAACTCAGTTGTGAGTAACCAAAAGAATGTCACACTAGCTTAAGTGCAGAAGGAAAATTTTGGGCTATGTTCAAAGGTGGGCCAATTCCATATATAGTTGCTGCATATGTTGGGGTCCTGGCTTTGTCTGGCTTCATTCTCTGATAGATTTTCTGGAAGTTGAAAAGATGTCTCTTAATTGTCCCAGTTCTACATTGTACCCGTAGCCTATAGCTTCAGCACACGTCTAGGGAGAACTCTGATTGGCCTGAGTTACGATCTGCCCATCCATGAACAAAGTGGCCAGGAAATGAAGTATTTTGTTTGTACGCTTCGATTGCCTGCTGATGCCCAGAGCAGGATAGAAGTAGGGTCAGCACCACATGAACTAAGCAGGATTATTATATAGTGGAAGAAGGATGGTTCCTCCAAGGTAGGAATATAAGGTCAATATTTTCCTCTCACTTTACCCACCCCGAGTTACCAGCAGTTTTCTATTGCTTCTTTTTTTTTTTTTTTGAGAAGGAGTCTCTCACTCTGTCGCCCAGGCGGTGCTGTCTTGGCTCACTGCAACCTCCGCCTCCCGGGTTCAAGAGATTCTCCTGCCTCCCCCTCCCGAGTAGCTGGGATTACAGGTGTGCGCTGCCACACCTGGCTAATTTTATTTTTAGTAGAGACAGGATTTCACCATGCTGGCCAGGCTGATCTCGAACTCCTGACCTCAGGTGATCTACCCACCTCAGCCTCCCAAAGTGTTGGGATTACAGGCATCAGCCACCATGCCCGGCCCCAGCAGTTTTCTATGGATGTTAGTGAAGTCATGTATAAAGATGAAAAATATTCTGGAGATTCTGACAGGCCTCTTGAAGCCACCTTTTTTTCCCTCCAATCAGACCACTGCTGTAAACCACACTGACACTATTGTAGTATGCTTTTTTCCTATACCCATAACACAGTGGGAGATTAAAAATAATTTTGTAGGGTAGGAAGAGAAGTGGATAGAGAGCCAGGAGATCTAGGTTTGGGTGCTGCTGGTCCTGCAGTTAAGCAGGCATATGTCTTTGGGCAAGTCATTTCACTTGTTTAGATTAATTTTCTCACTTATGAAGTGAGGGATTTGGACTGCTTAGCGAGGTACTTTTCATCTCTAAAATTTATGAATCTAAAATACTTGCAGTAAATATTAAATATTACAAATGGTTAATATTTTAAAACTTACTCAGATGAGTAAAAACTCAAGGGAGCTCCAAGTTGATGAATAGACAAAGAAGACATGATTCACACAGAAAAAACCCAGAAATTAAATCAGGGAAACTAGTAATCCAAAAACACTCTACCCAATTACATAACATTTTATTTTTTAATATATTTTAAATGAGCAAAATTAAGTTTCCAAAGCAATATGTTGCTTGTGGAACCACAGAGAAACTGTTATTTATAGTGCTGATAGTCTTACAAATTAGTTCAATATTTTTTAGAAAAGCATAAAAATTGTTCCTGAAATTATATTTAGGGAATGTTATGGAAGGAGAATGATCACTCTACAAAGATACTCTTTGTAACATTATGTATAATAGTGACAGATTAAAAATTAAATGTTTAATAGTATGCTTTGATGGATTATATTTTATGACAAAATCAATTTAATGATACTTAGGTTATTGATTGATACGAAGACAGTGCTGAAATGGAAAATGTTTACGGAATACTATATTTCATTGAAACTCAGATTCCATCAATTACAAGATACTTTTATAAGCCATTAAGAAGGAAAAGTCCTAGTAGTTAAACTTTGACACAGTATCAAATGATATATGAGTTGGCTATACTAGCTTCTTGGTAATTTGACATGTACAGACATCTCAAATTTGGGGGCCAGGTGTGGTGACTTACACCTGTACTCCCAGCACTTTGAGAGGCTGAGGCGGGAGGATTGCTTGAATCCAGGAGTTCAGGACTAGCCTGGACAACATGGTGAAACCCTGTCTCTACCAAAAATATACAAAAAAATTTAGCCAAGTGTGGTGCTGGGCACTTGTAGTCCCAGCTACTTGGGAGGTTGAGGTGGGAGGATGGTTTGAGCCTGGGAGGTGGAAGTTGCATTGAGCCAAAATTGCCCCATTGCACTCCAGCCTGGCAACAGATATATATATAATCTAAATATAAATAATATAAAAAAATATTATATTAAAAAGAAAAAAAAGGATTTGGCAGCTTCTCCCCCCTTCATTTGAATTGCTTAGCATAAGATAGACAATCTTTTCAGATGCTATTTGGTAAGATAACACAGCTTCGTCTGTTTGTGGGAATATTCGTTTCTTAGGTCTTGTAAAGTTCTTGATTTCTTCCCTCAAGAAAAATACGGAATTGCATGCATTCTTCCATCAATATTTGATTCATTATAATAAATTTATGCCTCACTGCTGTGTTCCACACCTTTCTACATAAAAATATAGCCTTTTGTATTAACAACATTTCTAAAAACATTTTATTGTTTGTTTTTTGAGATGGAGTTTCGCTGTTGTTGCCCAGGCTGGAGTGCGGTGGTGCAATCTCAGCTCACTGCAACCTCCACCTTCTGGGTTTAAGTGATTCTTGTGCCTCAGCCTCCCTAGTGGCTGGGATTACAGGTGTATGCCACCATACCCAGCTAATTTTTGCATTTTTACTACAGATGGGATTTACACCATGTTGACCAGGTGTGTCTTAAACTCCTGACCTCAGGTTATCTGCCTGCCGTGGTCTCCCAGAGTGCTGGGATTACAGGCGTGAGCCACCGCGCCTGGCCTTAAAAACATTTTAAATGGCAGTTAAACTCACCATGAAGAGGACAATGTACATAATGCAATTGAAGCAACAACATATGAAGACCTATTTGTAGGTTCACATATGAACAGGCAAAGACTATGTTACAAGTGCTGCTGGCTACCAGTAATTATTAAACACATGCTGATTTCAGAGATGTTAAATGTGAAAATGTATTGGTCTTAAAAATGATGAAATATGGAAATATTAAGAGTAAAAAAATGCACTCTAGGTTAGCATTATTTTAAAATATGTATGCTAGTCTATAAGGAGATTATTTGTATTCTGTTTTTCAGTATGAAGTGAGAGTGTTTACAAAATATTGCAGATAAAATTCCAACAGAAATATACATTGAAAGGATTCTGTTCTTTAACATCATAGATATGTAAATTTTGAGAGAAACATAAACTTTTTTAATATATAGGATTTTATTTAAAGATCTTATTTCTATTTTAGGAAACCCAAGAAAACATATAACGTCTTTGAAGGAAGCTGTGGATATGACCTGCCATGGAGAGCCATCTCTTTATAATTCCCTAAGCATGGCTATGCAGACTCTAAAGTTAGTATTATACATTATGTATAATTGAATTAGAAGTTTTTTAAATGAGTTAAGTTGAAGTGATGTGTTAATATGGGGCCCATAAACCCAGCTATAACAAAATTGTTAAGTACGAGAATTATGTAGTGTTATTTATGATGTTTAGTGTGGTGTTGGTTAGTAATTTTTATTTTACATTTTAGTAAGATATTGTTAAAGGTTTTATAAAAATATAATTTAAAACTGTCGGCAGTATCAATAGTACAAAAATAGGTTGATGAAAAAATATTTTATTAAAATGAGATTTAATATAGTATAATAATTGTAAGTTGGTTGTACCTTTATTAACATTTATTAATTTATTTTGAAAGTAATGGCCAAAACCACAATTCCTTTTGCACCAATGTCATATATCTGTAAATTAATAGATATGGCAAGTTCAGCTATATGGAATAGAGCTAAGACCCCAAAGGAAATACTTGGTATAGTTAAAGCTTATATATATATATAAGCTTTATATACATATTATATATATAATTTATTATACATATATATAAAGCTTATATATATGTTAAACTTACATATATAAGTTAAAGCTTATATATCTATTATATACACACACACACACACACACACACACACACACACACACACGTATATATATATATTTTTTCGAGACAGAGTCTTGCTCTGTCACCCAGGCTGGCATGCAGTGGCGTGATCTCAGCTCACTACAACCTCCACCTCTGGGTTCAAGTGATTCTTGTGCCTCAGCCTCCCTAGTGCTGGGATTACAGGTGTGTGCCACCATGCCCAGCCAATTTTTGTATTTTTAGTACAGATGGGGTTTCATCATGTTAGCCAGGCTGGTCTTGAACTCCTGGCCTCAAGCGATCCGCCCACCTCAGCCTCCCTAAAGCTTATATATTTTATCTCTGGATAGTCTGCCCTGGCTCAGACTTATACCTTTATATAATAGATATTTTTCTAGTTTTGAAGTGGATGAGAAGGAGGCAACACATGTAATAGAGGTAAGTACAGTAGTAGGGTCTACCAGTGAGAGCTGAGACGATAACAATGAAAATATAAGCAGGAAAGCTATAACTAATTGATAAAATTGCTGCAGAAAGCATAAAAACGTCTATTTAGTGTAGGTGAAAACTGGTCACCACAACTTAAAACTCTACAAGCTATCATTTTAATTAAATGGTATGCAATATTAATGTTCATGATTATTATGACTCTGAATTACTGTGAGGTTAAATTATAGTAATCCCCCCTTATCTGCAGTTTCACTTTCCAGTTTTAGTTACTCTTGGTCTGAAAATATTAAATTGAAAACTTCAGTAATAAATAATTCATAAGATTTAAGTTGTGTGCCATTCTGGGTAGCGTGATGAGATCCTACACCTTCCCTCTCTGTCCTGCCCAGGACGTGAATCATCCCTTGGTCCTGTAGATCCTCACAGTATATGCTGCCCACCCATGTAATGGCCTAAGTCATCAGATTAACTGTTGTTATTGACTGTCAAAACTATTGCAGTGTTTGTGTTATTTTACTTAATAATGACCTCAAAGTGCAGGAGTAGTGATGCCGGCACGTTGTTATAAATGTTCCATTATTAGTTATTGTTGTTAATCTCTTATTGTGCCTAATTTATACATTATTGATCATAGGTGTGTATGTAAGGCACACCTCATTTTGTTGCACTTTTATTGCACTTTTCAGATAACTTTTTTTTTTACAAACTGACAGTTTATGGCAACTCTGTTGAGCAAGTCTGTTGGTGCCATTTTTTTTTAACAGCATGTGCTCACTTCTTGCCTCTATATCACACTTTGGTAGTTCTTGCAATATTTCAAGCTTTGTAAATTATTGTTATATCTGTTATGGTGATCTGTGATCAGTGATCTTTGATGTTACTATTGTAATTATTTTAGGGCACCACAAACTGCGCCCATATAAGACAACAGACTTAATTGATAAGTGTTACGTGTGTTCTGACTGCTCCACCAACTGGCTGTTTTCCAGTCTCTCTCCCTCTGTTCGGCCCCCCCATCTCCTAAGACACAAAAATATTCAAGTTACACCAATAATAACCCTCCAGTGGCCTCTGAGTGTTCAAGAGTAAGGAGGAGTCGCATGTCTCACTTTAAATCAAAAGCTAGAAATGATTGAGCTTAGTGAGGAAGGCATGTCAAAATGCAAGACTGGCTGAAGGCTAGGTCTCTTGTGCTAAACACTTAGTCACATTGTGAATGCAAAGGTAAAGTTCTTGAAGGAAATTGAAAGTGCTGGGCTGTGCGTGGTGGCTCTTACCTGTAACTGCAACACTTTGGGAGGCTAAGATGGGAGGATCACCTGAGGCCATGAGTTTGAGACCAGTCCTGGTAACATAGCAAGACCTCCATCTCTACAAAAAAAAAAAAAAAAAAAAAAAATTAGCCAGGCACAGTGGCGAGCACCTGTATGTAGTCCCTAACTTCTCAGGAGGCTGAGGCAGGAGGATTGAGCCCAGTAGTTTGAGGCTGCAGTGAGCTACGATTGTGCTACTGTACTCCAGCTTGTATGATAGAGCAAGATCCTGTCTCAAAATAAGAAAAAAATAATGGAAATTCAAAGTGCTGCTTCAGTGGACACATGAATGATAAGAAAGTGAAACAGCTTTATTGCTGATACAGACAAAGTTTTAATGGTCTAGATAGAAGATTAAAGTAGCCACAACAGTCCATTAAGTCAAATCCTAATCCAAAGCAAGGCTCTAATTCTCTTCAATTCTATGAAGGCTGAGAGCAGTGAGGAAGCTGCAGAAGAAAAGTTTGAAGCTAACAGAGCTGAGCTCATGAGGTTAATGAAAGAAGCCATCTCCAAAACATAAAAGTGTAAGAGGGGCTGGGCGCGGTGGCTCACGCCTGTCATCCCAGCACTTTGGGAGGCCAAGGTGGGCAGATCATGAGGTCAGGAGTTCAAGACCAGTCTGGCCAACATAGTGAAACGCTGTCTCTACTAAAAATACAAAAAATTAGCCAGGTGTGGTGGTGTGCGCCTATAATCCCAGCTACTCGGGAGGCTGAGGCAGGAGAATCGCATGAACCCAGGAGGCAGAGGTTGCAGTGAGCCGAGATCGCGCCATTGCACTTTAGCCCAGACGACACTGTGAGACTCCGTCTCAAAATAAAAAAAAAAAAAGTGCAAGAGGAAGCAGCAAGTGCTGATGTAGAAGCTGCAGCAAGTTATCCAGAAGATCTAGCTAAAATAATTGATGAAGGTGACTACACTAAATATCAAATTTTCTTTTTCTTTTTTGTTTTTGAGAGAGGGTCTCGCTCTGTCACCCAGGTTAGAGTGCAGTGGTGCAATCATGGATCACTGCAGCCTCAAACTCCCAGGCTCAAGCTATTCTCCCAGCCCCACAAGTAGCAGGGACTACAGGCATGTGCCACCACACCCAGCTAATTTTTGTTGTTGTTGTTGTTGTAGAGGTAGGGTTTCGCCACATTGCCCAGCTGGTCTTGAACTCCTGGGCTCAAGCAGTCCTCCGCCTCTGCCTCCCAAAGTGCTGGGATTACAAGCATGAGCCACTGCACCTGGCCTCATATTTTCAATGTAAATGAAACAGCCTTCTGTTGGAAGGAGATGCCATCTAGGATTTTCATAGCTAGAAGAAGTGAATGCCTGGTTTCAGAGCTTCATGGGATAGGCTTCTTCTCTTGTTAGGGGCTAATACAGCTGGTGACTTGATGTTGGCACCAATGTTTGTTACCATTCTGAAAATCCTAGAGTCCTTAAGAATTATTCTAAATCTATTCAGTCTGTGCTCTGCAAATGGAATAACAAAGCCCAGATAACAGCACATCTGTTTACAGCATGGGCTTACTGAATATTTTAAGCCCATTGTTGAGATATATCTCAGAAAAAAGATTTATTTCAAAATATTATTGCTCATTGACAATGCACCCAGTCACCCAAGAGCTCTAATTGAGATGTACAAGAAGATTAATGTTATTTTCATATCTACTAACATAGCACTCATTCTGCAACCCTTGGATAAAGGAATACTTTGAACTTTCACGTCTTGATTATTTAAGAAATACATATCATAAGGCTGTGACTGCCATAGATGGATCTGAGCAAAGTACATTGAAAACCTTCTGGAAAGAATTCACCATTCTAAATGCCATTCATAGAAAGAGGTCAAAATATCTACACTGGCTGGGCATGGTGGCTCATGCCTGTAATCCCAGCACATTGGGAGGCCGAGGCGGATGGATCACTTGAGGTCAGGAGTTCAAGACTAGTCTGGCCAACATGGTGAAACCCGTCCTCACTAAAAATACAAAAATTATCTGGGCATGGTGGTGCATGCCTGTAATCCCAGCTACTGGGGAGGCTAAGGCAGGAGAATTGCTTGAACCCAGGAGGCAGAGGTTGCAGTGAGCCGAGATCGCACCACTGCACTCCAGCCTGGGTGTCAGAGCAAGAATCAGTCTCAAAACAAAAAAAGAATAGCCCATAAACTTAGTTGGTAAAGCATCAGTGGGGTTTCAAAGGAATGACTCCCATTTTGAAAGAGGTACTACTATGAATAAAATGCTACCAAACAGCATTTGCATTCCTTTCATGAAAGGAAGAGTTGACCCATGTAACAAACTACTTTGTCTTATTTTAAGAAATTGCCATAGCCACCTCACCCTTCAGAAAGCACCACTCTGATCAGTCAGCAGCCATCAATATCAAGGCAAGACTCTCCTTCAACAAAAAGATATTATTCACTGACAGTTCAGTCGATTTTTAGCAATAAAGTATTTTTCATAAAGGTGTGTACTTTTTTTTTTAGATATAATGCTGTTGCACACTTACTAGACTACAGTATAGTGTAAACAGAACTTTTCTTTTTCTTTCTTTTTTTTTTTTTGAGACGGAGTCTCGCTCTGTCGCCCAGGCTGGAGTGCAGTGGCGCAATCTTGGCTCACTGTAAGCTCCGCCTCCTGGGTTCACACCATTCTCCTGCCACCACGTCCGGCTCATTTTTTTGTATTTTTAGTAGAGACGGGGTTTCACCGTGTTAGCCAGGATGGTCTCGATCTCCTGACCTCGTGATGTGCCCGCTTCAGCCTCCCAAAGTGCTGGGAATACAGGCGTGAGTCACCATCCCTGGCCGTAAACAGAACTTTTATATACACTAGGAAACCTGAAAGTTCATGTGACTTGCTTTATTGCAAATATTTATTGTGATATTTGCTTTATTGCTGCGGTCTGGAATCCAACCCTGCAGTATCTCCAAGGTATGCCTGTATAGGGAAAAACATGGTATAATCAGCCCTCTGAATCCTGGGTTCTGCTTCTGTGAATTCGATCAACCACGCATCAAAAATTTTTGGAAAAAAATTGTACCTGTACTGAACAAATAGACATTTTTTCTTGCCATTATCCCCTAAATAATAGAGGATAACAATTACTTACATAGTATACATTGTATTAGGTATTATCAATAATCTAGAGATGACTTAAAATATATGGGAGGATGTACATAGGTTATATGCAAATACTACGCCCTTTTGTATCTGGGACTTGAACATCTGCAGATTTTGGTATCCATAGGAGGGCCTGAAATCAATCCCCCAAGGATACCGAAGAACGACTGTATATATAGGGTTCAGTACTATCCTTGATTTCAGGTATCCACTGGGGGTCTTGGAATGTATCCTCTGCAGATAAGAGGGGACTACTATAGTCTTTGAGAAAGAAGTGTGTGTTACTGTTTTGAAGCCACATCTCTGCACTTTAAAGCTGATCCATATGATATTGCCACATTTTAGTTTAAAGTTTATCCATATATTGTTGTATTTTTTATTGTATACTCTAGACTTTGTATGAAACAAACCTACTAGAATGTAAGCTTAATGATGTCGGGAACATTGTCAGTCTTGTTTATCACTCTACCCCCAGAACTTGAGAGTACTTGGTAAATATTAAATGAATCAATTAACAATTTTTTGAAGTGCATAGCTCATTTTAGAAAAATTTGCATTAAAGTGTTTAAAATATACTCACAACCTTTCTTTGCATTGTTGAAACAAATGAGATATTCTATAGTCTAAATGTGTAATCCTATGTTTACTGTTCTTTCTGGGTAAATTTTTTGGTAGTATAATTTGTTGTACCTAATTGGAGTGTATTTTATCTTTCTTTTAAGACACATGCCTGGACATACAAGTCGAGAAGTACTAATCATCTTTAGCAGCCTTACAACTTGCGATCCATCTAATATTTATGATTTAATCAAGGTAGACCAAAAAATCAAAACCAAAGTTATAACTGTAAAGAGAATTCTGTAGCAAATTGATTTATATATATATGTATTTTTGTATGTGTGATTCATCTTTGTGGTAGATGTATTGAATTTATTACTAGTTTTCAGAGCATTCTTTATTTTTCAAATACATTAAATCTTAAATGTTTTTCTTCTTTCCTAAAACTATCTATCTACTTGGATTTTATGAAGACCCTAAAGGCAGCTAAAATTAGAGTATCTGTTATTGGATTGTCTGCAGAAGTTCGCGTTTGCACTGTACTTGCTCGTGAAACTGGTGGTATATATATAATTTATTTAATATTTGCTTATAATTACTGTGTAGGAAATAATTTATTAATTAAATTAGGATGTTTTAATCTGTTCTGAGCTACTAAACTTAAAGTAGTCTAAAATATGGGCAGTCATCTTAAATATATCATTGATTCCATAAGAAATCATCTCCAAATGCAAAGAGTTTTCAGTACTTATGTCAGTATTTAGAGGAGGTATTATAACTCTTGGAAAGCTGGAAATTTTACTGTATGTAATTCTTTATAAAGATTTTATAACTTGTCTTTAATTAAATTGTAATTACAGGCCAGGCATGATAGCTCATGCCTGTAATCTCAACATTTTGGTAGGCCAAGGCAGGAGAATCACTTGAGGCCAGAAGTTTGAGATCAGTCTGGTTAACATAGTGAGACCTGTCTCTATTTATATGTTAAAATAATAATAATAGTAATAATAATCAATTGTAATTATAGTTATTCCTAGAGAAGTTGATTTAGATATATTACTTAAATAAGGTTTTAAAAGTGATAATTTAGCTAAAATCATTATTTTAAAAATGTACATTTTCAGATGATACAACTTTTACAGAATTACATAGAACGTACAGTTCGTTATGTCTATGAAGGTGTTTTTTTTTCCCTTTTCATCTTGTTAGGCACGTACCATGTTATTTTAGATGAAAGCCATTACAAAGAGTTGCTCACACATCATCTTAGTCCTCCTCCTGCTAGCTCAAGTTCTGAATGCTCACTTATTCGTATGGGTAAGTGTTTTTATGTTTTTAAAAAATACATATCTAGGCTCTCTATTTTCATTTGCACAAGTTATTTTAATATTTAAGAATTTTTAAAGAAAAAATATGCTTGTTGAAGCAATTTTGGAAAGTACAGAGAAGTGGAAAAAAAAAATTAAAACTACCAGTAGTCCTGTCACCCAGAAAATACTGTTGGCTTTCTTTATTTTTAAGGCTAGAAAGGTATAAACTGTGTTTATAGAAAAATACTTATATTAAGCCGGGCTCGGTGGCTCACACCTGTAATCCCAGCACTTTGGGAGGCCGAGGTGGGCGGATCTTGAGGTCAGGAGATCGAGACCATCCTGGCTAACACGGTGAAACCCCATCTCTACTAAAAATACAAAAAATTAGCCAGGCGTGGTGGCGGGCGCCTGTAATCCCAGCTCCTCGGGAGGCTGAGGCAGGAGAATGGCATGAACCCGGGAGGCAGAGCTGGCAATGAGCCGAGATCACACCACTGCACTCTAGCCTGGGCGACAGAGCGAGACTCTGTCTCAAAAAAGAAAACAAAAGAAAAACACTTATATTAAAAATTTTTTAAAATAAGCTACAAAGGCCGGGCGTGGTGGCTCATGCCTGTAATCCTAGCACTTTGGGAGGCCGAGGCTAGCGGATCACCTGAGGTCAGGAGTTTGAGACCACCCTAGCCAACATGGCGAAACCCTGTCTCTACTAAAAATTACCAAAAAATGGCTGGGCATGGTGGCAGACATCTGTAATCCCAGCTACTCAGGAGGTTGAGACAGGAGAATTGCCTGAACTCAGGAAGCGGAGGTTGCCATGAGCTGAGATTGCGCCACTGCACTCCAGTCTGGGTGACAGAGCAAGACTCTGTCTCAAAAAAATAAAATAAAATAAAAATAAAATAAGCTACAAAATTCTCTGTACTGGATGATCAAAGCTGTGTAATACAAACTGTGCAAAGACAAAGCTTGCAGGGAAGTACACCAAATTGCTCAAAGGAGGGGAAATTATTGGTTTTGGATCACTTTTTTTTTTCTTTTTTTTTTTGAGATGGAGTCTCATTCTATTTCCTAGGCTGGAAGTGCAGTGGTGCGATCTCAGCTCACACTGCAACCTCCGCTTCCCAGGTTCAAGCAATTCTCCTGCCTCAGCCTCCCGAGTAGCTGGGATTACAGGCGGGCACCACCATGCCCAGCTAATTTTTGTATTTTTAGTAGAGACAGGGTTTCACCATGTTGGCCAGGCTTGTCTTGAACTTCTGACCTCATGATCCGCCCGCCTCGGCCTCCCAGAGTGCTGGGATTACAGGCTTGAGCCACTGTGCCCGGCCTTGGATCACTTTTTTAAAATGTTATTTTCTTCTATTTTACAAAAATGTTACAATGAAAATTTATTACATTTATATTGAAAAAAGTATAACTTTTAATAGAAAAATAATCTCCTTATTTAATATGTATGTTTTTAAATGTTAATGAAATAAAATGCTTTTCTACTTTTGGCCTTTTATATTACCAGTCGACCTCTCTTTTCCACGGTCTTCTCATGTGTTTAATGATGTCAGTAACTATCAACCTTATTGTGTGTTTCAAGGATTGAGTTAATACAGATGATGCGTTTAGAATAATGCTTGATGTAAACATTCAATATATTTTAGATCTTATGTTTGGCTAATCTTTTTGATTTACTGATATATTTTCTTATTTCATTTTAAAGTTATTTAAATTTATAATTTATTTATTAGAGTCCTTTAGGAATGTTAACCCTTCTCAGTCACCCGATGCAAATATTTTTCTTGTTGGTTATTTGCCTTTACTTTTATTTATTTGTTTTGATATGTAGATACATTTACATTTTTTATGTAATATATCTTTTTAAAAATGGTTTCTGCTTTTCCTGAACATGTTTTCAGAATTTAAAATTGTATATGGAAAACAAATTACATGAAAGATTTGAGCATTTCAAAATTTTAAACATAAAAGCATAAACGTAGATAAAATGAAGGTGTACTATGATATCTTCAGTTTTATCAGAAATGATGTAAAAATTACAACCTCTTTAAAAAGTAGTGTTAATCATTAAGTTAGAAAATATATAGCTGGGCATGGTGGCAGATGCCTGTAATCCCAGCTACATGGGAAGGTGAGGTGGGAGAATCGCTTGAACCCAGGCAGTGGAGGATGCAGTGAGCCAAGATCATGCCACTGCACCCCAGCCTGGGTGACAGAACAAGACTCCATCTCAAGAAAAAAAAAAAAGAAAAATATATATATGAACTTCAGAATCTGAGGTCATATATAGACAGGTCTTTCCCCCGTTTCCTCTACTTTTTCTTGTAGCTTGGAATTAGTCAGTTTCATCATGCTATAATAAGCTTATCTGAAAGGCAGTAAAGTGATATTTTGTACAACTTCATTGGCTTTTTGAGAAGAACATTTTTAGGTTCTTAGTCCTAGAATTCTGCTGTTTGCTTGGAAAAAGAAAGTAATACATTTTCTTCTATGAAGGATTTCCTCAGCACACCATTGCTTCTTTATCTGACCAGGATGCAAAACCCTCTTTCAGCATGGCGTAAGTAAAGACCTTGAAAATATCAGTGATAATGTTTTTACATTTTTAATTCCTTCTTTTAAGTTATAAATTCAAAAGATAGGCAATGAAGACTATCTCTATATACTTGTATGGAGTGATCTTCAGGATAAATTACTAAGTAAAACAGTAGTTTGAGAGAATTTTGTAGTATGCTGCTAATCACCTAAGAAGAAAGTAGAGATGTAAGTGGATGTATATACTTGTTTATGTTAATAATAAAAACAATAGTATGGAAATAATAAAAACTTAAAAGGGGTGGAGGGGGAAATTTTTTTTTTTAATGTTTACCTCAGTGAGTGTGTAGGGAAAAGCAAAGGGTTAGACCCTAGACTTTTCTGAATGCATCACTTAATGATAGGGATACATTCTGAGAAATGCGTCATTAGGTGATACCATCATTGTGCAAACATCACAGAGTGCACTTACACAAACCTAGATAGTGTAGCCTACTAACATCGCAGTTATATAGTATAGCCTATTGCTCCTAGGCTGCACACCTGTACAGCATATTGTGTACTGAATAATGTAGGCAGTTGTAATGTAACACCTAGTGTTTGTTTAACTAAACACAGAAAAGGTACAACTAAAATGTATTATTTTATGGGACCACTGTCATATATGTGGTTCATCACTGACCAAAATGTTATATAGAATATTACTGTACCTTGTTTTAACTTCAGAGCTTTGTATTTTACATAATTATAAAACAAAATTAAATTTAAGAGAGTAATTCTTAAAAATCACAAACAAGATTTCTGCCTCCAGCCAAAAAGCTGTAACAGGGACTAGATTTACCCTCCTGTCAAAAAAAGCAGACAAAATATATAAAACAGTGGTTTTCAGACGTTGGACAGCAAGCCTTGCTGATAATGATCCCTGAAAGAAAGGAAACAAATGAGATGGGCCCTAAGAGCACTCCACCTTACTGCCTGGATGGAATTTCCAGGCTGCACACAGAGGCTGGAGATGTTGTTGAGTTGAAGAAACAAAGTTCATCTTTCAAGGAGGCTGAGATGGCGATAATTTTGCAGGTCAGAGTACTGGAGAGGAAAGATCTGCACAGAGAGAACTCTCTGGGGAGCTGCATAGACTTGCTCATGAGTCAGCAGCTGAGCGTTGATCAGCCCTTTTGTGTGAGGAGACTACTGGAAGTCAGGGAAAAAATCACTGGAAAGCAGCAGACAGAACAGTTTCCAGAGCTCACACAGAGAACATTCATGTTCTCACCAGTCTGTATGGAAATACCTCTTAACATGACAGGCATTGAATAGAGTCCACAGTAATGGGATCAAATTAATTCTATCACAAGAACTGGAACCAGAGGCAAAAAGAAAAGAAAAGAAAAGAAAAATCTAGACTAACAGCTGTTCTAGACCAGCCTAACAAAGTTTAAAAGCAAATTTTGAAGAGATTAAACTATTTCCAAGTTAATGAAGTATATTTCAGAACAAACCCTTAAATATTTGAGGGAATACAAAAAAAAAAAAAAAAGAAAAAATCCAGCACCCAAAACAAAGCAAAATTCACAATGTCTGGCAAAGCAAAATTCATAGTCCCTGGCAGAAATTACCAGGGATGCAAAGGAAAATATGACCCATAAAATGGAGAAAAATCACAGAATGGAAACATACCCAGAAATAACCCAGTTGGTAGAATTAATAGACAAAGGGTTGGGTGCGGTAGCTCCTGCCTGTAATGCTAGCACTTTGGGAGGCTCAGGTGGGCAGATCACTTGAGCCCAGGAGTTCGAGATCAGCACAGCCAACATGGCGAAACCCATCTCTACTAAAAACACAAAAATTAGCCAGGCCTGGTGGCACACGCCTGTAGTCCCAGCTACTTGGGAGGCTGAGGTACAAGAATGACTTGAACCCAGGAGGTAAAGGTTGCAGCGAGCTGAGATCGTGCCATTTCACTACAGCCTGGGTGACAGAGCGAGACTCTTATCAAAAAAGAAAAAAAAGAATTAGTAGACAAAGATGTTAGGACAACAATTATAAATGTACTCTGTATGTTCAGGATGTTAGAGAACATGAGAATGGTAAGAAGAGATATGGAAGGTATAAAAAAGACCCAAATCAAACTTCTAGTGATGAAGAATACAGTGTTTTAGATGAAAAATATATTGGCTGGGATTAACAGCAGATTAGACACTGCAGAAGAAAAAATTAGTGAATTCAAAGATAGTAATAGAGACTTTAAAAATGAAGAGAAGGGCTGGGTGTAGTGGCTCACATCTGTAATCCCAGCACTTTGGGAGGCCGAGGCAGGCAGATCACTTGAGACCAGGAGTTTGAGACCAGCCTGGCCAACATGATGAAACCCCATCTCTACTAAAAATACAAAAATTAGCTGGGTGTGGTAGCACGTGCCTGTAATCCCAGCTACTCAGGAAGCCAAGGCACGAGAATTGCTTGAACCTGGGAGGCGGAGATTGTAGTGAGTTGAGATTGTGCCACTGCACTCCAGCTTGGGCAACAGAGTGAGAAGCCGTCTCAAAAAAAAAAAAAAAAATGAAGAGGGGGAAAAAAATGAATGTAGCATAATTTAGTTATAAGACATACTCACAGATTTTAAAATAGACTTTTAGACCAGGCATGGTGGCTCACACCTATAATCCCAGCACTTTGGGAAGCTAAGGCAGGTGGATCACTTGAGGCTAGGAATTCAAGACCAGCAATATAGTGAGAGACCCCCATCTCTATATAAGTTATAAATTTTTTTTTAAATATAGACTTCTTTTGTTTTTTTTTTGAGATGGAGTTTCACTCTTGGCACCCGGGCTGGAGTGCAGTGGTGCAATCTCAGCTCACTGCAACCTCTGCCTCCTGGGTTCAAGCAATTCTACTTCAGCCTCCCAAGTAGCTGGGATTACAGGCGCCTGGCTAATTTTTGTATTTTTTAGTAGAGATGGGGCTTCACCGTGTTGGCCAGGCTGGTCTTGAACTCCTGACCTCAGGTGATCCACCCGCCTTGGCCTCCCAAAGTGCTGGGATTACAGGTGTGAGCCTCTGCGCCCGGCCAAAAATACAGATTTTTAAATAGATTTTTAAATAGTGTCAAGATTTTAAGGTCAAGATAGCATGCTTTCCCGCTCTAACTTTTCAGATCATTATATATTACCCTTTTTCCCCCTACAGGCATTTGGATGGCAATACTGAGCCAGGGCTTACATTAGGAGGCTATTTCTGCCCACAGTGTCGGGCAAAGTACTGTGAGCTACCTGTTGAATGTAAAATCTGTGGTAAGAAAACAACTATTCATTATTCAGTAAATCTTGAATGACTTCTTAATCTGTATTGCTGCTAAAATTAATGTAAATGTTAAGTTATTCCTATGTTTCTGGATTTAATCTGTGCAAAGAAAAATAGATTACTTTTTAAATTGAGTGCCCAGTACTCCACTTCCATGTATAAATGTAGCATTCTAGTTTCCTGATCCTCTTTCTGAAAAAAGTATATTCTTTAAAGGCAGTGCAGTAGATGTAGTAGACATTTTTCCATCTCTTACCTTTATAAAGTAAATATATATAAGAATGAAGAATTAAACTAATAGAATTGTCGAATTTTATTTCATTTATAATATAAGTAAGCAAATAGACCGAGACAGGTTGGTTACACACTTAGTGACAGAACTAAGACTCCATCCTACAATCTTCTGTTATAGCCACAGGTAAAATTAATAACTGCCATCCTAAAAGAAACTGAACATATTCTGCTGAAGTTACATCTTTTGGCTTTTCAGCCGTTGTCTTCATGAGGTTTGGACTACTCAACATGTCTCTCTGCTTAATGTGTTAGGTCTTACTTTGGTGTCTGCTCCCCACTTGGCACGGTCTTACCATCATTTGTTTCCTTTGGATGCTTTTCAAGAAATTCCCCTAGAAGAATATAATGGAGAAAGGTATTTCAGTTTGGACTAATTTATATCTGTTATAAGTGGTAAGCTAATGTTTGAATAGATTGTTACTACCTTAAAAAATAATCTGATTAACTTGGACAAGAGTACTTCTAATATGGAAGATGAGATAAAGAATGCCATAGTTATGATTGAAATGACTCGTTGCTAAATAGATCTGAATCTCCAGAAACCAAATAATTTCACTAAACCCACCTATGTATAAATAGGGGTGATGATTGTACTACTAAATCAGTTTTCCAGAAGGAAAAGAAAAAAAGCCCTGATTGGTAGTATTTGCTGATTTCCATGGTTTGAATACTCCCACCATGGCCAATTTTTAGCTACAATTAACAACCAGCTTTCTTGAATACATATTTAACAATATATCCTTTTGATCCAGTACAATCCAGTCCTAGCACACTACTGAAAATAAGAGGCTCATTCAGCACTTTGGGAGGCTGAGGTGGGAGGATCACTTGAGGCCAGGAGTTGAAGACTAGCTGGGGCAACATAGTGAGACACTGTCTCTTAAAAAAGAAAAAAAAAGCTGGACATGGTGGCTCATACCTGTAATCCCAGCACTTTTGGAGGCCAAGGCAGGCAGATCACCTGAGGTCAGGAGTTCAACACCAGCCTGAATGACATGGAGAAACCCCATCTCTACTAAAAATACAAAATTAGCCTAGTGTGGTGGTGCATACCTGTAATCCCAGCTACTCGGGAGGCTGAGGCAGGAGAATCGCTTGAACTCGAGAGGCAGAGGTTGCGGTGAGCCAAGATCGCACCACTGCACTCCAGCCTGGGTAACAAGAGCGAAACTTCGTCTCAAAAAAAAAAAAATCTGGCATAACATAATTTATCTAAAATCTTTAAGTATTTTTACGAATGCTATTTGTGTGAAATACAACAAATAAAGTCTGAAATAGAGGTAGTCAATCCTTTATAGAATAGTTTTCAGAAAATAAAGATTTACTACTTTTAAGAACATCTAGGATCGGCTGGCACGGTGGCTCACGCCTGTAATCCCAGCACTTCAGCAGTTCGAGACCAGCCTGGTCAACATGGTGAAACACCATCTCTACTAACAATATAAAAATTAGCCGGGTGTGGTGGGAGGTGCCTGTAATCCCCAGCTACTCAGGAGGCTGAGGCAGGAGAATCCCTTGAACCAGGGAGGTGGAGGTTGCAGTGAGCCAAGATCACACCATTGCACTCCAGCTGGGCGACAAGAGCGAAACTCCATCAAAAAAAAAAAGAACATCCAGGATTTAGGAGTCACATTAAACACTTACTGGCTAGCCGAAAACAATTATGTATCCATCTTGCTTTTCACACTTAAATCATTTAGAAGTCATTCAGTATCACCATATCTAGATCAATGTTGTTTTTGAAATTGTTGCATATTTCAGGTATAATTATGGTTTATATAATCAATTGCTTCCTGTTGGATATTTAAGGTTTTTTTTTTGCTATTAACAAATAATGCTTATATCTATATTTTTGAACATTTGTACAAGTATAAATGCATGGTAAATTCCTAGAGGTAAAATTACTGAGTCAAGAGTTTTACATGTTTTGTGAATTTTGATAGATATTGTAAAGTTGTTCTTCAAAGAACTTTCATTTATTGTTTTCCCACATTTAGCCAACATTAGGTATTATGAAACTTTTTTATATTGGCCAAAACTCACAGGCAAAAGAAAAAGAAAAAAGTCTCATTGTTTTAGCTTGGTATTTATTTGCTTATGGTTGAGGTTAAATATAGTAAAAATGAAAAACCCAGTACTATAGAAGATAGAGTTGAAGAAATATTCCAGAAAGTACAATAAAAGGAGTAAAATAAAGAGGTTCAAATAGGAGAGTAAAGATAAGAATACTGGTGGAATTATCCAGAAGGTCCAATGAGAATGATACGAGAAAAAAAGAAAAAAAGTAGGATAGAAAATCATCAAAGACATAGTTCAAAGAAATTTTATATTGAAGGACGGAACTTTCTAGATTGAAAGGGCCTGTTGGCTGGGAAGGGTGGCTCATAGCTCTAATCCTTGCACTTTGGGAGGCTGAGACTGGGGGATCACTTGAGGCCAGGAGTTCCAGGCCAGCCTGGGTCACACAGCAAGACCTCATCTCTGCAACGAAGATAAAAGAAAGGGACTGCCAAGTGCCTAACGTATTGAAGGAAGGCAGACCCCATAATTGTGAAATTTCAGAATACACAATAAACCATTAACCCTAAACATTTCCAGAGAGGAAAAACTAGGTCACACACAAAGGATCTGGAATTAAAATTGTTTGGCTTCTCATTAGCAACACCGGATGCAGAGAGGGAGCAGTCACCTTCAAAGTTTGTAGTGAAAATTGTTACCAACTTAGATACCCAGCCAAACTGTCAGTTAAGTGTAGGTAGAATAAAGACATTTTCAGACTTGTAAGGTCTCAAAAAGAGATTTTTCTGGGGAAGGTCTGGAAGAGGTAGGTGATTCAAAGGAACTGAGAAGGAGAATGACATGGGATCTAGTAATATGTATCTAATTCAAAACAGGCTGAAGAACGGCCTAGGATGATGGTAAGGAGAAATTCCAGAATGATACCTGTGTGTCACATATGGGGAACCGTCCAGTTTGGAGACAGTCAGGATGCTCCAGGAGAGAGATCACCAAGGGGATGAAAACTGCAGAACTCCTGATGTATTTGAACATATCGAGAGGACAGTTAGACTATTCCGGAGAAGATTGGGCCTGAATTAGTGTCAATTATATAGGAAACTAACCTTGGGAATAGCAACACAGTATTTCCAGGAAAAAAAAAAATGTTTTAAATAGGGGAAAACTTATGGCTTAGCTGAGAATATTTTTATAGGCATAGTAAACTAAACATTGATTATTGTTCTATCCAAAAGGAAGACTTCACTATGTAGAAAGAATTGAGAATGACACTAGTTAAATATTTATGCATTACTGGGTTCAAGATGATTGAAAGATAATTAAATTCTCTTCTTTCATAGTTGGAGATTTATAGCCAATAACTGTGAAGAATCACAAAGTAGCACTTATTAGAATAAGTGACTATCAAACAAACGTTAGAAAGTGCTTCTGGCTGGGCATGGTGGCTCATGCCTGTAATCCTAACACTTTGGGAAGCCAAGATAGGAGGATTGCTTGAGCCCAGGCATTCGAGACGAGCCTGGGCAATATAGCGAGACCCTGCCTCAATAAAAAATTAGCCAGGCATGGAGATACATGCCTGTAGTCCCAGCTACTCAGGAGGCTGAGGCAGGAGGATCACTTGAGCCCAGGAGGTTGAGGCTGCAGTGAGCTGTGATAGCACCTCAGCACTCCAGCCTTTGAGACAAAGCAAGACCCTGACTCGAAAACAAAGAAAAATAAAGCATGCTCACAGTTAACCTTAATGAAAATAAAAACTAAATTTTGGGCTGTCAGATGACCTTGTATATACTGTGGAATTTTTTTTTAAATTATTGCTATTCTTTTTTTTTTTTTTTTTTTTTTTGTGAGTCAGAGTTTTGCTCCCGTTGCTCAGTGTGGAGTGCAATGACACCATCTCGGCTCACTGCAACCTCCGTGTCCTGGGTTCAAGCGATTCTCCTGCGTCAGCCTCCTGAGTAGCTGGGATTATAGGCGCCTGCCATCACGCCCAGCTAATTTTTGTATTTTTAGTAGAGACGGGGTTTCGCCACGTTGGCCAGGCTGGTCACGAACTCCTGACCTGAGGTGATCCACCCGCCTCGGCCTCCCAAAGTGCTGGGATTATAGGCGTGAGCCACTGTGCCTGGCCTATTGGTATTCTTAACTCTTTTTCCTGAAAGTCATGTGTAAAGACAAGTACATATTAATTAAAGGATTCTAGTTAGTGAGATTTTGTTGAACTATTTTAATGAGTAAATTCTAAGAAAAAACATTGTTAAACTTTTTTTTCAGATTTTGTTATGGATGTCAGGGGGAATTGAAAGACCAACATGTAAGTTCTTTGGCTTTCTAAATATTAAGTAATGTACAAGAAATATTGAAATCAATGGTACTATAAGTTTTCAACAGGTTGTTAAAGACCAGGCTCATATCAGTTTATTTCTTGTAAAGATAATGACAATAGGTGAAGGTAAAATAGGAACAAAATAGTTTAAATAGTAGTTTTGTTATTCTGCATTCTAATTTTTGCTATAAAGTATTTTGTAATTCATCTTTTTAAAACTTTTTATTAAAAATTTTTTAATTTTTTTCCTCTTTTTTTAAATTCTTTGATTGTTTTGTCTACTTTGGTACACCCTTGTAAAACATGTAATTTGTCTTTAGCTTTCAAGCTAAACTGCATTTAGTCTGAAAGTATTTAAAATATTTTCTTCATATTATACTTTAAGCTGTGTGATAACACATTGAAATTGTTTAAGGTGGCCACAGATAATAGGTGATTCTTCCATTATGCCAATGAGAAAATACTTTTTTAAATTTTGAAGAGGGCCAACTTTAATAAATAAATTTGTATAGATGTAAATAATATGGATCACTGTCTAGCTTTAATTTTTAATTTAGTTACATGTTCATATTTAAAACTATATATATTATATAAAATAATAATTAGAAGTATTGCTCTTCCACTGTCACAATTTATAAAGTAATTTTATTAAATTTTATATACCTCTTTGACATCAGTAGTTTACTCTTAACTGGAACCACTTTTTGAATCATTTGACAGTTTTTTGGTTTTATTTTCTGAGACAGACTCTTGCTCTGTCACCCAGGTTGTAGTGCAGTGATGCAATCTTGGCTCACTGCAACCTCTGCCTCCCAAGTTCAAGTGATTCTCATGCCTAGCCTCCCAAGCAGCTGGGATTATAGGCGTGCACCACCATGCCCAGCCAATTTTTGTATTTTTAGTAGAGACTGGGTTTCACCATGTTGACCAGCTGGTCTTGAACTCCTGGGCTCAAGCAATCCACCCGCCTTGGCCTCCCAAAGTGCTGGGATTACAGGCGTGAGTCACTACACCCGGCCTCATTTGAGTTTTTAAGAATAGGTCATTGTCTGTGTTGTTTGAAATTTATTTATTCATTCTTTTTTTTTTTTTTTATTCAAAGCCAAATACTTCTGAGATTTAGTGATTTTTGAATCTGTGTATGAAGCTGCCCTGGAAATTTTATCCCAAGGAGCAAGTACTCATATATGTAATGCTGAAAGAACAAATGTAGTTTTTTCCTTTCTGCTTGTCTTATCTGTGTCATTTGACATATTTTTTTAAAGGTTTACTTGAAAGGGAAATATGTTTGCAATTGTGAGGTCATTCCCTAAGAATAATTAAATCGATGTTAAATTTTTATGCTTCTCTTTTTAATTGAATCAATCAGGTGGTCTTGCTAAGCATTCAAAAGTAGCGCTGGTTTGAAGCTCATATGTCTTTCCTAAACCTTAGAATGAAATAATTGAGAGCGAACTGTAATAGAATAGACTTTAAAGACTCAAAAACAAAACCATTCCCTCATTTCTAAGGGATAGTTTTGGGGAAAAAATTAATTGCCTTAGATTTGAGAATATAGAGTACATTGGAAGTAATAAAGTAGGTAGTGGGAAAAAATTGGTAGAGATATAAAAGAGCAAAGCACACCTTGAATGTCATCTAGCTGTGCTGTAATTAACTTTTGGAAACTAGTTTATCACTTTTCTTCTTTTCACTACAGGTTTATGTTTGTGCTGTGTGCCAAAATGTTTTCTGTGTGGACTGTGATGTTTTTGTTCATGATTCTCTACACTGTTGCCCTGGCTGTATTCATAAGATTCCAGCTCCTTCAGGTGTTTGATTCCAGCATGTAGTATACATTGTATGTGTTAAAAAGAAATTTGCAACTGTGAATAAAAGGACTTCTTTAGAAGAAGCTTCATTTAAAACATGAAAGGATAATCTGACTTAAGAAACTTTTTGCTAAGAAAAGGTAATATTTTATTAAATTTTAAATTTGTGTTGTCACAGAAATACCTGAAATTCAGTAGTACTTCATTCAATTAATTTTGTTTTCTATTATTTTGAGTTATACTGTTTTCAAAGTCATTATGCAGTATGTATAAACTTATAAGAATTAAATTGATGTGATAATTTTATGTTTTTATAATTAAATATAGAATCTTTATGATTTATGTTAATTCATTAATTTAGTGTAAGAAGAAAGTTAAGTCTGAATGTAAATTCAGTGTAAGATGAAAATTTATCAATACTTATGAAATTAGGCTGGGCGCTGTGGCTCACACCTGTAATCCCAACACTTTGGGAGGCTGAGGTGGGCAGATCACTTGAGGTCAGGAGTTCGAGACCAGCCTGGCCAACATGGTGAAACCCCGTCACTACTAAAAATACAAAAAATAATTAGCCGGGCATGGTGGTTCACGCCTGGAGTCCCAGCTACTTGGGAGGCTGAGGCAGGAGAATCGCTTGAACCCAGGAGGCGGAGGTTGCAGTGAGCCGAGATTGTGCCACTGCACTCCACCCTAGAGTGAGACTCCCTCTCAAAAAAAAAAAAAGTTATGAAATTAATACATATGAAATGATGTACTGCTACATCCACCAGAGAGGTCTTTTTAGGTTTAACCAAACATCTGGAATATGTTTATCAAGTTAGTACATCTGAAATTATTTGTGGCTATGACCAACAGAAGTCACTTTACATTAAACATTCAAACTCACAAGACTGCCATGGCCATACTTGGTACCCGCTTACTCAGAAGGATATTAAACAGAAACAACAGCCTGCCAGCACAGCATCAAGCAGTCCTCATTAGCAGTGGAAGTCCTTGTAGCAGTCCACTAGTACAATTTGGGTGCAAGGAGATAAGATCCTCCACAGGCATCAAGGAACCAATATCTCTTAACAATTCCATAAACACAGCTTCCAGGTATCCACAAGGGATGTGTCAATTTCAAGAGTCACTACACTCAGGAAAGCCTAAAGCTTGAAGACTCCATTTATTTATAGTGCATCCCAATCCAGATACGTAACAATTAACGAGTTATTTTTACTATAAGCAAAGTTGCCTAAAATCATAGTTGATACTAACCATGGTTAACAGAGCTCTAAAGTTTGACAGAAAGTGAGATTCAAATCCTTTCACTCTCATATGCTAAACCTTTTGCCTTACTCTGGGTCATCAGAGAAATTTAGGTGAGAATGTATGATGAAGTCTGTGTTTTAGATTCAATGCAGATATATCATTGTGGGCAGAACTCTTTCTGGTTATATCCAGTTAAGAGTAAATCAGGCTTTCAGCCGGGCGCGGTGGCTCACGCCTGTAATCCTAGCACTTTGGGAGGCCGAGGCGGGCAGATCACGAGGTCAGGAGATCGAGACCATCCTGGCTAACACGGTGAAACCCCGTCTCTACTAAACATACAAAAAATTAGCTGGGCCTGGTGGCGGGCGCCTGTAGTCCCAGCTATTCGGAAGGCTGGGGCAGGAGAATGGTGTGAACCCAGGAGGCGGAGCTTGCAGTGAACCGAGATCGCTCCACTGCACTCCAGCCTGGGCGACAGAGCTAGACTCTGTCTCAAGAAAAAAAAAAAAAAAAGAGTAAATCAGGCTTTCATAGCAAAGGTATGTCTATTTTATGTATATAAACTTCAGGTACTCTAACTTGAGTTTCACTATGAAATTTGTGATTTTTTTTTTTTTTTTTTGAGATGGAGTCTTGCTCCATCGCCCAGGCTGGAGTGCAGTGGCCTGCTGTTGGCTCACTGCAACCTCCGCCTCCCAGGCTCAAGCCATTCTCCTGTCTCAGCCTCCTGAGTAGCTGGGACTACAGGCGCCTGCCACCACGCCTGGCTAATTTTTGCATTTTTGGTAGAGACGGGGTTTCACCTTGTTGATCAGGCTGATCTCCAACTCCTGACCTCAGGTCATCCACCCACCTCCGCCACCGTGCCCGGCCGAAATTTGTGATTTTATAACTAAGAATTTTTAGTTAAGAACATTATCAGTAAAGACAACGTAATCCCACCCTGGAGAGTTTATTGGGAGCCCAGGAATATTCATTTTTAATACACACACACACACACACACACACACACACACACACACACACACTGATCAGAGTAACGGGAGTTTCTCTCAGGAGTCATACTCCATGAGCCTGGACCCAGTGGTTCTTTATGTGGAAACAAATTTCACCTATAGGTAACCTGGTAACTGCTATTTTCTTCTGTGTGCTCTGTCAACAAAGGTATCAGTGGCTTGCAGGAGATGCCTTTAATACTCAGAGCATTCTATCTCCCCCTATCTGGTTTAGAAGGAAGGCCTTCATTAGTTACCTTTTGAGAAGTTACTAGAACTCTCTATTAGAGACTTACCCTCCTGACCTGATAAAAAGGGATACCCATGTCTCTATTAACAGCTTTATCTCTTTCTACAGTTTTGGGTATTTGATAAGGTTAAGGCAAAATTTTAGTTATGCTTAAGGAGGAGTTCTTTTTTCACAATTACAGAGAAAATTTTGGTTTGTTGAAGATTGCAGAAACAGCAATGGTAATGTAAGACAGTTTTGGCCTTTAATTTTTTTCTTGAAACTCTACAGTATACTACAATAGTGAAGGAAACTATTATCATGAGAGATCCTTCTGAATAGGATGTCTTTCTGAGTTCCACTATTCAGTTACAAAACTCCTTAATGCTTAAAATTCATTATGAAAATTAGATTTATTTTAAATACTTTCAAGTGTATACATTTTTATTTCATAATTTTTATTGTCTTTTAACTAAAGCATTTAGTTCATTTATATTTACTGTGTACCTTTTATATTTAATAAATATATTTACTTATTAAAAGATTACCACTGATATATTTTATTTATTATAAATATTATATTTATAAATATATTATTTATATTTATATTTATATATTTATATATATTTATATATAATATATATTTTAATATATTATATATTAAAATATATAAATATATATAATAAATATAAATATTTATTAAAAGATTACCACTGATATATTTGGGTTTAAGTCTATTATCTTTGTGTTATTGGTTCCAACAATTCCATCTTTCGTTTTTTTAAATTTTTTTAACTACATATTTGATACGATCTTTTCCTTCTTGCCTTCTTTTTGATTACTTACTTTCTACCATTCTATGTTTTTCGTCACTAGTTTGAAAATTGTATACTTTGTTTTTATTCTTTCAGTGGTTACCCTAGAAATTACAACAAACAAAAATTGCAACAACAATAAATTACAACAAGAAGAATTTTTTTTTTTTTTTTTGAGACAGAGTCTCGCTCTGTCGCCCAGGCTGGAGTGCAGTGGCGCGATCTCAGCTCACTGCAAGCTCCACCTCCCGGGTTCATGCCATTCTCCTGCCTCAGCCTCCCGAGTAGCTGGGACTGCAGGTGCCTGCCACCACGCCTGGCTAATTTTTTGTATTTTTACTGGAGACGGGGTTTCACTGTGTTAGCCAGGATGGTCTCGATCTCCTGACCTCATGATCCATCTGCCTTGGCCTCCCAAAGTGCTGGGATTACAGGCGTGAGCCACCACGCCTGGTCAACAACAAGAATTTCTTAACTTAGGTCCCCTAGGAAGTAGAACCTGAGGCAAAGATGAAAGTATTGTTACTTTATTAGGGAGGGACAGATCTAGGGGGGTGAGAGTGTGGAAGAAAAGGGAAAGCAAAGCAAGGAAAAACGTGATGCATTGTGTTACTGCAGTGACCAGGCTTCATGACAAGCTGTGACGAGATACAGGAGCCTTCCAGCAAGTGTGTTCACTTAGAGTGTGGGGCTTCTCCAGAAGGTTTATAAGGAGAAACTGCCCCTCTGAGCAGTCCATTGAAGGGAGGAAGGAGAAGTAACTTAGTTTCCTAAGTTCTTCCATTTCCCGTTGATCCTAGTTTGCCCACAGGGCTGTGTCATCTTGTCCTTTGGTAACTGCTCAGGAAGCCAGATCTCGTGCTCAGTGGTGTGGCATTGCATCTACTTCTAGAAGGATTTCTCAATACTTTATAACTTCCTCATGTTTCTGGTCATGTCTGTGTTCAGCTATATCTCTAGAACGGTTGGCCAATTCATAGCATGAAATGATTTCATGAGTGGTGACAAAGAAAGGGTGCAATCAGCCCTTGGGGAGTGGGTTAGTGGAATCCCAGTCCTGAGGCCATTAGTGGGTGGCAGAGTTTAGGAGAAAAGGTAAGAAGTTTCAGTCCTTGGGCCCTGTAGTAAGGAGAAAAAGGGTACAGGAGGTTGTCACACTTCTGAGAAGTAGTCTTAGAGTGCCCTAGTGCCTGCTTTGGATCCAGTTCTGTAAGGGCAGAGGATTCATTATTTCCAGGTAATTTAAGTATGTTCTGGGGAGAAGTGTTACAAGATGGACTGGGGACTCGGCTGGGATCCTGATGGGATCTAAATTATTGATTTCACCTGACTGAATTGCTATTTGCGTCACACCTCAGGACCCTGGAAACAATACACAATTTGCCCATTCATTAATTTATTAATTCACTCAACAAACTTGTACATCTGCCATAAGTCTGACACCATCCTAGTTATCAGGGATGTAGATAGTCAAAAGAAGATGTAAACCTAACCTCATGCATCTGTGAATCTCCCCATCTAAAAAGACACAGCCTTGTAAAGAAGCTTGTGTGAAAGTGCTAACGACAGACATGCCAAGTGTTAAGGGGATGCAGGAGAGGCGTGGTAAAATGGGTTGGGAGGCAGCTCAGATGTCTAAAGGGGTCAGGCAGACAATGCAGATAAGTGAAAGAGGGCCAGTTGATGCAGAGTGGGGACATCTGGAAAGCACCCGCCCCATCTAAAGGAGGCAGCCTCTGAGAGTCTGGGGATCAGGGATAGAAGGGAGATGTACTTTTCACTGTACATCCTTTTGTATTTTTTAAATTTTGTTACTTAATTCAAAAAAATGTAAAAATAAAGTGAGGTAACCATTATTTGGCCCCAGCCTATTTTTTTCTTCTGGGAATGATACTTAAAGAGAAACTAAATCTGGATTTTTTTTTTTTTTTTTTTTTTTTTTTTTTTTGAGACAAAGCCTTGCTCTGTTCCCCAGGCTGGAGTGCATTGGTGCAATCATGGCTCACTGCAGTCTCGACCTTCCAGACTCAAGTGATGGTCCCACTTCAGACTCCCTAGTAGCTGGGACCACAGGTGTGTGCCATTGTGCCTGGCTAATTTTTAAAAAGTTTTTTTTTGTAGAGACAGTGTCTTCCTATGTTGCCTAGGCTGGTCTTGAACTCCTGAGCTTAAGTAATCTGCACACCTCAGTCTTCCAAAGTATTGGAATCACAAGCGTGAGCCACCATGCCCAGCCGTAAAAACTGGATTTTTAAAGTGAATTCTCCCAAGTTTGAGATGTTAGCCTCTAATTTAGAAAAACACAGAGGCTAAATAAAACTTATCTTCAGTCCACCAGTTGACAAACTTTGGCCTGGCCTGTCTCTTTTCTATCGTTTATCATCAGGGCAGATAATCTTTTAAGTTTCAGGTGTTACACTTTCCTGGGATATACTCCTCTTAGGGGATAATTTATTTACTTTTTGTTTTTGTTTTTGTGACAGAGTCTTGCTCTGTCAACCAGGCTAGAGTGCAGTGGCATGATCTTGGATCACTGCAACATCTGCCTCCCGGGTTCAAGTGATTCTCCTGCCTCAGCCTCCCGAGTAGCTGGGACTACAGTCATGTGCCACCATGCCTGGCTGATTTTTGTATTTTTAGTAGTGACGTGGTTTCACACCATGTTGACCAGGCTGGTCTCGGAACTCCTGACCTCAAGTGATCCACCCACCTTGGCCTTCCAAAGTGCTGGGATTACAGGTGTGAGCCACCGTGGCCAGCCTTAGGGGATAATTTAGGTTTTTTGTGTTTCTGTTTTAAATTTAAATTTTTGTTTTTTTGAGGCAGTATCACTCTGTCTCTCAGGCTGGAGTGCAATGGCACAATCAACTCACTGCAGCCTTGAATTCCTGGGCACAAGTGATCCTCCCAATTCAGCTTCTCAAGTAGCTAGGACTACAGGTGTGCACCACCATGCCTGGCTGAATTTTTTTTTTAAGAGATGGACTCTTGCTGTGCTGTCCAGGCTCGTGTCAACTCCTGGCCTCAAATGATCCTCTCTCCTAGGCCTCCCAAAGTGCTGGGATTACAGACGTTAGCCACTGTGCCCAGCCTAGTTCAAGTTTTAAGCATTAAGAATTGACTCTTTGGAGGAATAGGGATCTTTTAAGGATCTCTACAGTCAGTGACTCTAAATGTAGTGTTTGGACCAGTAAGTAGCATTAGCATCACCCAAGAAGTCATTAGAAATGCAAATTCTTGGCCAGGCGCGGTGCCTCATGCCTGTAATCCCAGCACTTTGGGAGGCTGAGGTGGGTAGATCACGAGGTCAGGAGTTCGAGACCAGCTTGACCAACATGGTGAAACCCTGTCTCTACTAAAAATACAAAAATTAGCCGGCCGTGGTGAAGGGCATCTGTAATCCCAGCTACTCAGGAGGATGAGGCAGGAGAATCACTTGAATCCAGGAGGCGGAGGTTGCTGTGAGCCAAGATCGCACCACTGCACTGCAGCCTGGGCAACAGAATGAGACTCCATCTCAAAAAAAAAAAAAAAAAGCAAATTCTTGAGCCCCATCACAGG